>NC_000003.12:163705574-163857089 GCF_000001405.40 Homo sapiens
AAAAAAAGAGCAGTGTTACCACCAAATAGCATCCTAGCTTTCTGAATACACAGTTTATCAAAGTCGATTAAGCAAGGGATGGAGCAAAGGAGGGAGAAGGCTGATGGAGAGAGTGACTGAGAGAGAAAGAGAAGACTGTAAAAGGAGGCTCTGAGAGACCTAGTGACCCAGAGTACGTATAGAATGAGACTACATGACTACATGTTTGTTAATTTGAGAAGTCTGTAGGCCCAACCTTGTGGTCTAGTGGACAGGGAAGAACCTAGTAAGTAATTTCTTAGAAGAATGTACCTTGGGTCCCCTGGAGGGTGAAGGCAAATATTAATGCAGGGAATGACGTCCATTTGGAGTTAGGCTCCAAGAGGTAGTTTGTAGCAAAATGATATGTAGAAACCATGATGTAATTGCCTGGAAAGAAGATGATGATGGCTAACTCCAGTTGCCTGTGACCTTCAAAACTCAAGTGAAGGGCTTTAACTTTTGCTGGGAATGCACTTAAACAAGTGTGGTAGTATTTAAAGAGAAAGGAAACCCTGGAAAGGTTTGGCTCAAGGAGTGGCTTTGATTCGATCATTTTAGTACATGCTATGTATCTGTATGCTGAAATGAGCTTTAAACCCATATCAACCATAATCATCCAGACAAAATACTTTTCTGAAGCATTTTCTCATGCTTGAGAATTTTCAATGCTATAGCCTTGCTGTGAGTAAGGTAAAGTTTCATATCTCTGATGACCAAATTGAAAATTGTAGAGTTTGAAGAATTTCTCAGAGCTATACATATGGTAAAAACTGCATGAAATTTCAACATAGAATTTTTGATTACATCCAGTTTTGTCAGTTAAAAAACTGCTTCTATCCTATTCCTCTACATAAGTTTACACCTAATATCTTTATTCATTTTTACCATTCACAGCTTGTAAAATGAGTCATACATTTCAAAATTCTTTAAAAAAGATTTTAATAATTTTTTTACTTTAATTTTTATTGAGATATAATTCACATGCTTAAAATTCACTATTTTAAGGTGTAAAATCTAGATGTTTTATGTATACTTACAGAATTGTGCATCCATCACCACCATTTAATTTCAGGATATTCTGCACCCATTAGAGAAACTGTGTACTCATAAGCAGTCACTCCTTATTCCCTCTCCCTCTAGCCTGTGAACACCGCTAATCTACTTTCTTTCTCCCAGCATTTGCTTTTTCTGGACATTTCATATAAATGAAATGATAAAATAGGTGACCTTTTATGTGTGGCTTTTTAAAAGTACTTCTTTCACAGCTTCATCCATGTATCATCTATCAATACTTCATTCCTTTGAATGGTTGAATAATGTTACATCGTGGGGATATATCACATTGCATTTATCCATTCATCAATTGACAGGCAGCTGGATTTTTCCACTTTCCAGCTATTATAAAAAATGCTGCTAAGTAATTCATATACAAGCACTTTCAATTCTCTTGGGTAAGTATCTAAAAGTAGAATTGCTGAGACATTTAGTAAGTCTATGTTTAACTATTTGAGAAACTGCAAAACTGTTTCCTAAAGTGGCTGGTACCATTTTAAATCCTCTCCAGCAAAATGTGAGTGTTCCCATTTCTCCATATTTTCACCAACTCTTGATATTTTCTGTCATTTTTATTCTTGCCATACTAAGGGATGTGAAGTGGTATCTCATTATGGTTTTGATTTCTATTTCCTTAAAGACTAATGATATTGAATATATTTTCATGTGCTTATTTCCCACGTGTACATCTTCAATGGAGAAATGCCTATTCAAATAATTTGACCATTTATTAATTGGGTTATCTGTTTTTTTATTGTTAACTTGTAATAGTTCTTTTCTTCCATTCTGAGGGTTGTCTTTTTACTTTCTTAATGGTCTCTATTGAAACACAAGTTTCTAATTTTGGTGAAATCTAGTTTATCTATGTTTTTCTTTTGTCAGTTGTTTTAGTTTTTATATATAAGAAATGATTTAATCCAAAGAAGTCATAAAAGTCCCAACAGACTTTATGCCTATATTTTCTTCCAAGGGTTTTATAATTTTCAATTTCACATTTAGATCTTTGATCCATTTTTTTCACAAAAAATTCTTTTACCTCTTAAAATTTTGTTTCTATAATTCTACATTTAAATTTATTGTTAAAGTTGACACATGTAATAAAACATTTCAAACAAAATAAATTTAGCAAAATAATATGTTCTCTTCTGCAAACATAGGTAATTCTTTAGTATTATGTGTTTATTTGAGAAATGACAAATGCTATTTACATTGGTGTGTGGGTGTATACACACACATTTGTATAAAGTATTAGTTTGTCAAATAATACACTATCATTATATTACTATTCTAGTGAAAGAATATAACTGTAAGGTCAAAATGTTCTTTTTTTAAATCTCAAAGCATTATTAAAAATCATGTTAACTTTTGCTTTGCTTTTTTATTGGACCATTACTTCTTGAATGTATTTGCATTTATCTTAAAATATTTAATTCTTTCTTTTTTGTGAGAAATATATCTTTTTCCTATAATCTCAAGATTATCTCTCATTTTATAAGGTTCTTTGGAGTAATTTTTTAGGTTCCCACTTACCACCATTATACATGGAATCCATCTATAAATCTTCCTCACTTTACTTTCACAGTATATTTGAAACCTATCCATTTCTGATATGAATCAACTCCTTGACTTTTAATTCCTCTCTAGCCTGGATCATCTCATGTTTCCCAAATGGTCTCACATACATGTGTCTGCTATCTGTGCTCACAGACTAGTCACAATACAACATTCAGAGTGTTTCTTTTTAAAAGGAGACAAGTTTGGACTCTACTTTTGGCCTTCTGTCTTGTTCATAATAAAAGTGAAAGACTTTATATTGGTCTAAGTGACTTACATTAGCTGCGGCCCTGCTACTTCTCTGATGTCTTTTCCTCTCCTTCTGCCATGTTTTCACTCTAGCTACAAGCATCTCAGTTTTCCCCTTAAATACAGATGCCAACTCCCACATTGGGACCTTTATAGTTGTTTGTCCTTCTGCCTGGACTATTCAACAAATTCACTCCTCCATTACTCTTGCTTTGTTTGACTCACAAACTAAACTATGAATAATGTGTTCTTTGACCATTTTATTTATAATAACAACTCCCAGATTGTTTTACTCTGATTTACAGCTTCACTTACCTCTTTATCACCATTGAACAGATTTTATATTTACCTACATGTATATTGCTATCCATTTCTCCCCTTGTTAGAAGATAAATTCTATGGGTGCAGATACTATTCTTTTTCACTGCTTTATCTCCAAGCTCTAGAAAAACACATAATAGAAGCGTGATAGATAGTGATTGCATGAATGAAATATCCATTCTCACAATCACACAATTGATGAAATTGAATTCCTTTTTTTTACATAAATACATCCCTCTTGAAGTTTTATTTATTTATTTATTTATTTATTTATTTTATGTGTTTATTTTGAGACAGAGTTTCACTCTTGTTGCCCATGCTGGAGTTGAATTTTTTTTAAACAATATTTCTATCTGAGCTACTTTTACTCAAACGCTGCTATGTAACTTTTCTGCACAACATTGTTTTTATGGCATTTCTGAGAAGGAACCTTGGTTTCCATATCCCGTATGTTTCTGTGTTTCATCTTTATTTTGTTTCCTTGTATTTCTTATTGTGGTTTACTAAACTTTGGAAGAAAAAAATGGTGTATTCAAATTTTCACTATTCAATTTAAATCAAATAGTACTTATTGAGACTAATTTTGCTTCTCAGTCATGTTAGGGAATGCCGTTAATAATATCATTGATAATAACACCAGCATCACCACTGTTAAATACAAGTGTTTGTAAGAGTTACAGTTTTTGAGACATGGCAAGAGTCAATAAATTATTATCTATTTTCTAAAAACAAATAAACTACTGCCGCTATTTTTTAAAAAAACATTACTTATTTGTTTGACTATTTCTGTAATTACCTTAAATAAATCATGTATATTTTAAAGTACACTTAAAATGTCTTCCATGCAATCTTAAAATGAATTTACCATTCAATTGATAAAATGGCCAAGATTGATGACTTGGCTTGACAGATTATATCTAGAAATCATTACATGCCCTTTTATAGCTCTGTAGCTTTGTGCAAGGCATTTATATTGTAAAACTGCCTTTTCTAATACCTAAACTAAAGATAATAATGTCTACTTCCAGCACTATTGATGAGTTCAATTAGATAATGTATCTAAAATCTCTACCACAGAGTCTAGGAGTTTATGGGACATTGATAATTGACAGTTTTTTCTTATTATGTGATATGGTTTGGCTCTGTGTCACTACTCAAATCTCATGTTTAGTTGTGATCCTGAGTGTTTGAGGTAGGGCCTGGTGGGAGGTGATTGAATCGTGGAGGCAGATTTCCCCCTTGCTGTTCTCATGATAGTGAGTGAGTTCTCATGAGATCAGATTGTTTAAATGTGTGTAGCACTTCCCCCTTTGCTCTCTGTCTCCTGCCATGTGAAAACTTGTCTTGCTTCTTCTTCATCTTCTGCCGTGATTGTAAGTTTCCTGAGGCCTCCCCAGCCATAACTCCTGTACAGCTTGTGGAACTGAGTCAATTAAGCCTCTTTTTCTTCATAAATTACCAAGTCTCAGTCAGGTAGCTCTTTTTTCTTTTTCTTTTCTTTCTTTTCTTTCTTTCTTTCTTTCTTTCTTTCTTTCTTTCTTTCTTTCTTTCTTTCTTTCTTTCTTCTTTCTTTCTTTCTTTCTTCTTTCTTTCTTTCTTTTTTTTTTTTTTTTTTTGAGGCAGAGTCTCCCTCTGTCACCCAGGCTAGAGTGCAATGGTGCAATCTCGGCTCACTGCAACCTCCGCCTCCTGGGTTCAAGCCATTCTCCTGCCTTAGCCTCCCTAGCAGCTGGGATTATAGGCATGTGCCACCATGCCCAGCTAATTTTTGTATTTTTAGTAGAGATGGGGTTTCACCATGTTGGCCAGACTCGCCTTGAACTCCTGACCTCAGGTGATCTGCTCTCCTCAGCCTCCGAAAGCGCTGGGATTATAGGTATGACCCACTGCGCCTGGCTCAGGTAGTTCTTTATAGCAGTGTGAGAATGGACTAAAATATTACCTTTTCACAAATCTCCAACAAGTGTCATGTTTTCAATTGCGTTACTATTGCTTCTGTGAGTTTTAAAATTCAAACCTTATATATTCTTATGAAATTATTTTGTTTTTAATGTTATATTTTTGAACTATCTGTATAATTGTATGATAGTATGAATTTTTTAATGACTAGAAAACTTTTTCTGAATATTTATATAAGCATATTAATTTATCTTACAGTCTAAATAGGTTATAGAGAAAAACAACACTCTCTTTGCTTATAGAAATATGACAAAATCTTATGAAGGTTGATGGAAGCATTTGACTTAAGAAAATTACTTTTCCACATTAAGAAAGGTGTTTATACAACAACATGACTATTAACTACCAGGCGTGATAATTTCTCCATTCTACCAGCTGCTCACATTTAACATTTGCATAATAGTATAAATAGTTTCTATAGTTATTGGTCTATTTTTATTCCTATTCTATGCTGACACACTTTTATCAAAATAATCACTTCTTTCATAAGCTTTCTGTTGGGTCTAATTTTCTTTTGTAGTTATATGGTAATGAGGACATAATGTTTTTCCCACAAGGTAAGTCTGTTGAGTATTCTAAAAACATATCAAGTTTCATTTTATTGATACACACAGTGAAGACTATTTGATTTCAAATCTAATAAATATTCAGCACAGTACAAAACAGTTTGTGTTTTATGATTTTTATAAGGTGTTCATATTTCTAATACTTTGTTGAACATGTTGTCTCCTTTGAAATAGGAACCAAATTACATGTTTTCCCTGAATAATTATTCATCATTTATATTGTTGTATTTTTCCTTTTGCAACACATCTATAATTTTTAATAGAAAGCAACATCTTATATTTCCTTCCTCATATGACTTAGTTAAAATATACTGTGAATATGCTTGTATATCAATAATTATATGTAAACACACATATACCCACATGCATCCTTACACATACATGGGACTTTACACCCAATATTTATATCTGTTTGAGCTATAAAAGAAGAGAAATAGAAAACATATTATTTCTGTCTCCTATTATTTATTACCCTGGATTTTCAGAACAAATCTGCCAATCACAATTAATACGGTCACTGTTTTTTAAATTTTTTTATCACTGACTTACCGTGAATATAAAAAGCTAAAAAAGAGATAAAATTGAAAGCCTTGAAAATTGATAAGATGCAAAAAATTTATATTGATGAATTTTTATAATATTGAGATCATGGATTTCTGGGACATATGTGATAAATTCTAGTATCTAGACCAAATAAGAAGGCTCACGTTGCTTCCCCCAATGAAGAAAGGAAACCCAGAAAAGCTATGCCTCCATCTTAAGGGGTGAAAAATAAAGTATCAACAAGCAAGCAACTTGCTAATGTAGATTTTGAAACTGGATTTATGGGGATAATTCTCCACTGAAAATCCATGCTCATGAGTGGGACTTCATAGACATTTCATCTGATATTCAAAGCATTTCAGGATCTATAGGTGGCAGAATGGGAGAATTCAAGCAGGTAATTTTAATTTAACAGGATCCAGATTATCTTCTGTTTTTATTTGTCTGACAGGTAAAAGGTAAATACTTTTTGGTATGATAAAATTTGACTTCAGCTGTAAACATTGTCATGAATTAATAATAATTTAGTGAAATATCACAAATGCACAAAGAAAGAAGCATCCTGAGGCTTAACTAGATGAAACAAATGTGAGCAGAATCAAGAACCAAAAACATTTCCAATACTGAAATTATGAGACACAGAAAGGTTTTATTTAGCTAATTACATGAAAGATAAGTTAAATATATGAGAAAGGAAGAGGAATCTATAAAAATTAAGAAGTTTTGAAAATTTAGAAATTTTAAAACTTAAAAAATTAATGACTAAATTAAAAAAATACTAAGTTAGTTAAACCACATATTAGATCAAGCTGAAGCGGTATCTGGTTGGTCAGTTATATAATAGATGTGAAGCAATAAACTAGAATGCAATTCAGGAAAACAAAAAAAGGAAATATGAAAGATTAAGGTGCATATCAAGGAGAATAAAAATATGTAACTTTTATTTGATGAAGTTTCCAAAAGGATACCTGGAGAATTAATTATAAAAGAGAAAATTATCAAAACAGTAATGACTGACAGAATCTGTCAGAATTACTGAAAAATTCTCAGTTCTATAAACACAAAAGTAACCAAGATAAATGAATCCTAGACTAATCATATAATAATAAAAATGAAAAAAAAAAAAAAGAGAACCTCTTATAAATAAAAACGAAAGGAAAGAGAGACTAGTTTCAAAACAATTCAATTAGATTGATGATTGATTTATCAGCAACAAAGGGAACTAGAAGAACCTAGTATGTTTTCCCTACTTTAGCTTCCTACATTTTGATGTTTCGTGAGAATATTTTTATGAATATCGCAAAACAGTTCAATTACAGACAGTGTTTTTATTCGTGCAAAATTTCTGCTCATAGCAATTATAAACTCTAAACAAAATATACAAAACAACTATTTGCAAACAATAAAATATTTATTTATTTGGTTTTTATTTAATTTTATTTTACAATCCGTAATACCACATAATATGGCAGAGATAGTAATATTTGATGCTGTGTTCATCAACAAAAATAACAGTATTATTTTTCATTCTTTAAAAAATGATTTTTTTTTTTTAGGCATCACACATTCTTAATAACTGCGAAGGTGAAGAGAAGCCATTGTTTACTAAATTGCAAAGTACCTCTTGCTGTGAAAGTAGCTCTATTCCAGATAGTATAGTGTAGGATTTTAAAGACAAGAATTTAGGTATTCTTAGGTAATACTGCCCATTTACCTTCTACAGGGATTATACAATGCTTTGTTTTTATCAGTCCAAAGCCAACAATTTCACCACCAAGGCGAAGAAGGTGTTATAACATGAGAAGACATTAGAAAAACTAACCAGGAAGATGTTAGAGAACAACAATAGAAACAACACTTTGCAGTGATGTCCTCTCATAACAGATTTACCAGAATGTCTCTATCAATGCACCTCCATAGCATTTCTTTCTAAACTCTCAATGAGTGTTTCTAACTGCCTTCCAGAAGCAAAGGCAAATCATCCTTGGATAAGTCTCAAATTATCTCTGTAATTTTTAAATAATATATCCAGCATTTAATTAAAAATTGATTAGAATAAGAAGAAACAAGATGAAATTTCCAAAATTGCAACAGAAGAAGAAGGTCAATATTCTTATAAGAAATTCAAATATTTATTTTCTCAAGAAATTGAAGACAACATGAAGGATTTTGAAAGAAGGAAGTATTGTTTTTACAAAAAAATCAAATGGAAATGTTAGAACTGAAAAATGCAATAACTAAAAGTAAGAACTAAAAATAATAGGGGTTTAACGATAGTGTAGACACAGAAGAGGAGAAGATTAGTAAATAAAAATAAGTCATTAGAAAATATTGTAACTAAAAGAGAAAGAGAAGAAAAGAAACTGAGTAAAAGAGCAGGAGTTATATATGGGATACCATGAAATTTCTAACATACTGTGGAAGATACAGAAGAAAGGAAGATAGAAAAAGATGCAGAAGAAATAGATAAAAAGATAGATAAGTTTTCCAAAATCAGTTAAAACTTCAAGCCATATATTAAATAAACAAAATCCAAGCAGAATAAATACAAAGAAAGTAATATTTTAAAGAATTATCAAGAGATCCAGGAATGGAAAAGGCAAGAACCAGAGAGAATGAAAATAAAAAACCTAGTGAAATTGTCATTCAAAACTGAAGGCATAATACAGACATTTTAGTACCAAAATAATCTGACCAAGTTTGTCACGTAAACACCTACACCAAAGAAAACACAAAGGAAAGACTTCAGGCAGAAAGATTATGTGCCAAAATAGAAATAAAAAGATGCAAAAAGGAATGAAAATCTAAATAAATCAATAAATATGTAGGTAAATATAAATTAAAGTTAACAATATAAAATAATAATAATGTGGATTTTAAAATATATAGAATTAAAATACATGACAAAAAATAACACTAAAGTCACTAAGCTTGCATATTGAATTAGTTTTCTAGGATCCTAACACCGAAAAGAATATAACATAAATGTGTATTTATACTCTTTTAAATAATCAGAGGAAAATGCTGTAATCTGTAGTTAAATTACTAAGTCAAATAATATATAGCTAAAAAGTTGCTGTAGAAGAGTAATGAAACAGGAAAATATAGTAAATTGAATGAAAAGAATGGAAGACAGTGAAACAAAAAGAAATAAAGAATGGATGAGACAACTAGAAAATGAATTTCAAGTTAGTAATTTAAACCACACATTTCAATAATGTCATTAGGTTAAAATAATATAAAACTCCAGTTGTAAAGCAAACTTTGTCTGACTTATAAATACAACAAAATGTCACTCTCTGCTGGTTGAAAGAAACACAACTTAAATATATTTTAAAAATTGACAGTAAAGAAATGAAAAGGATATGTCACCCCTATGTTTATCAAGCGTAAGCTAGTGGAGCTATAGTTGATATCATGTAGTCATTATTAGAGATAGAGAGGTATATTTTAGAGTGATGAAAGGGCTAATTCATAGGAAGATATAAAAACTCTTACTGGGCCAGGCGCAGTGAGTGGCTCATGCCTGTAATCCCAGTACTTTGGGAGGCCGAGGCGGGAGGATCACAAGGTCAGGAAATCGAGACCATCCTGGCAAACACGGTGAAACCCTGTCTATACTAAAATACAAAAAATTAGTTGGGCGTGATGGTGCGTGCCTGTAATGTCAGCTACTCAGGAGGCTGAAGCAGAGGAATCACTTGAACCTGGGAGGCAAGGATTGCAGTGAGATCGTGCCACTGCACTCCAGCCTGACAACAGAGCTAGATTCAAAAAAAAAAAAAACCTCTTACTTAGTATAAATTGAAAATCAAATAGCAAAACATAAAGCTACCCTCCACCCCCCAAAAATAAAACCATACTTATTGTCAGAGATTTAAATACACTTCATCTAGTAACTTATTGAAAAATGGGACAAAACATCATTATGGTTACAGAAGATTTAAACAGCATATTTAATTATAGCTAGAATTTACTGAAAATGAGTCACTGGAAAAATACCTAAAGGTTTAGAAATTAAGCAATATAACTCTAAATAACTTATAGGCCAAAAGATAACTCACAATTGAAATAAGTATTTAATCTGACAAATATTTTGTAATACAGCAAAATTTGTTGATACACACATAATCAGAGTTATATGGAGAGCCTTAAATGTATATATTAGAAGATGGAAATTATTCATTTAAGTACTATTTTTAGAAGTTTTGAAAAAAAGTAAAGGCAAAGAAAATAGTAGACAATAAAAAAGTATGCTAAGAGCAGAAATGAATGAAATAGGAGAAATAAAATAAATAGAAATAAGAAATTCAATTTTGGTTCTTTGAAAACACTAGTAAATTTGGTAAATACCTGACAAAACTAGTTGAGACAAATAAGTTAGAGACAATAGAGAATACTCACGTTTTTAATGGATATTACTACAGATCCTACTAAAAATAAACAGAGATAAATAAGATATGAACAACATTTTTACCAATAAATTTGAAAATGCAGATCAAATAAATTTCCAGATAATCCTAGATGGACAAAAGATTTTTTAAATATTCAGCAATCATTTAAAATATAAGGTCTAGATTGAGGGTCAGCAAATTCTTACTTAAAGGGCAAGATAGTAAATATTTCAGGTCTGTAAGCCATACAGTTTCAGTCATAACTCTCCAGCCCTGCTGTTGAAGCATGTAACTGCCCAGACAATATGCAAATAATCGCTATTATGTCTCAATACAATTTATGAAAATAGACTATAGTTTGCTAATACTGCTCTAGCAGGTCCTCACAGTGAACATAAGAGAAAAATTAACTGCAGCTTCCAGAACGGAGTGAGAAAATGCATTTGCACTATGCCAGAACACCTTTCTCCTAACAATCCTGCTGTCAGAAAAAAACAAAACTAAACTAAATGAACAAACAAACAAAAAAGATTTTACCGGAGCCTAACTTGCTGGGGTTTTATCAGTGCCTAAACATTTAGAGGAAGGAAATACCCAACTTCATCCCCTTATAGTCATCCTATCCCACCTAAGGGGTAAAGTAAATACTGAGAAGCACAGATAAAGTTCACAATCCAGAGACACAGCTTACCAAAGGGTGACATAGTTATAAGACTATAAAACATGTCCTTATAGTCTTATGTGCCCCACCCCATTTACCCCATGTGCTTCACCCCCTTACCATTATAATACTAAAAGCCTACTTACCCTAGTTTCATCTACCCAGTACATCATGGCAACCAACCTTTCAACAAAAAGTTACAGAATATATTAAAAATACAAAAAATACCAGCTTAAAGAGAACAAATACACACCAGAACCAGAGTCAGAAATGACAGGAATGTGGAATTATACAAGAAATTTAAAATAAATATGCGAGGGCTTTATTAGAAAAAGTAGAAGGCACGAAAGAATATATGCACAATGTAAGCAGGGAGATGGACAGTCTAAGAAAAAAATGATAATAATAGAAAACCTTGTAACAAAACTAAAGAATACCTTGCATGAACTCATTAGTAGACTGGACTCCACAGAGGAAAGTATTTCTGAGTTTGAGGATATGACACTGCCTACTTCCAAAACTAAAAAGAGAAAAAATGGCAAAAACAAAACAATACAGAAACAAAAATCAGAATAGAATTTACAAAAAATATGAAACAACTACAAAAAAATGAATATATGCCTAATTAAATACCAGAAGGAGGAGAGAGGAATAAAGCAATATTTAAAGCAACAGTGTCAGCAAATTTCCCCGAATTTATCAAGCACCAAACCATAGATTCAGAAAACTCAGAGACCAGACGCGGTGTCACATGCCTGTAATCCCAGCACTTTCGGGGGCTGAGGAGGGCTGATCACTTGAGGTCAGGAGTTTGAGACCAGCCTGGCCAACATGGTGAAACCCTCTCTCTACTAAAAACACAAAAATTAGCCAGGCATGGTGGTGCATGCCTGTAATTCCAGCTACTCAGGAGGCTTAGGTGGAGGATCACTGGAACCCGGGCTGCAGAGGTTGCAGTGAGCCGAGATCATGCCACTGCACTCCAGCCTGGGCAAGAGAGTTAGATTCTGTCTCAAAACAACAACAACAACAAAAACAAAAACAAACAAAAACAAGGAAACAAAAACTCAAAACCAAACCAAAAGCAGAGTAAGTGCAAAAAAAGATAGAGGAAAAAAAAAAGAACACACCTGTATCTAGACATATAATATTAAAACTTCAGAAAATCAAAGATAAATGATATTGAAAGAAGCCAGAGGGAGGAAAAAAGGTGCACAATTATTTATATAAGGGCCAATGTAAGATTAATACCTCATTCTCCTCAGAAACCATGAAAGCAAGAAAATAGGGGACTGAAATATCTACCACACTGGGAGATAAAAAATGTAAACCAAAATTTTGGTACCTACCAAAACTATTCTTCAAAAGTAAAAAATAATAATAAAACCTTTCTCTGGCACACTATATTGAGGAAATTTGTTGCCAGTACACCTGCCTTGCAAAAAATTGTTAAAAGAAGTTCTTGGCTGAGGCATGTGGATCACCTGAGGTCAGGAGTTCCAAACCAGCCTGACCAACATGGAGAAACTCTGTCTCTGCTAAAAATACAATATTAGCTGGGTGTGATGGTGCATGCCTGTAATCCCAGCTACTCGGGAGGCTGAGGCGCGAGAATCGCTTGAACCGGGGAGGTGGAGGTTGCAGTGAGACGAGATTACACAATTGCACTCCAGCCTGGGCAACAAGAGTGAAACTCCATCTCAAAAAAAAAAAAAAAAAGAAAAAGAAAAAGAAAAAGTTCTTCTACAGAGATGGAAAATGACATAGGCCAGAAACTGAGCTCTACATACAGAAAAGAAGAATGTTGAAGAGTTGAAGAATAAATAAGTAAAGATAAAAAGTTTCATGTTTCTTATTCTAAATTGATCTAACAGATAAGAGTTATTCAAAGTAATAATAATAGCAAAATTCACACAAGAAAGACAATCTGCATAGGTCTCTCTATATATATATCTATTAAATAAATTGAATCAGTAATGAATACACTTCTTAAACAAAAAGCACCATACCAGGATGAGTTCACTGGCAAATTTTATCAAATATTAAAATAAATAATTGCACCAATTATTTGTAACCTCTTCCAGAAGATACAAACAGAGAGGCTTTCTAATTAATTCTATGAGATCAGCATTACCATAATACCAAATCCAGATGATAACATTACAAAGATAATTACACACCAATAACTCTCATGAACATGAATGCAAAAATCTTCAATAAAACTATTAGCAAATTGAATCAAGCAAGGTATAAATAGCATGATATATCATGAACAAGTAGAATTTTTCCCAAGTATTCAAGGCTGGTTCAACAATAGAAAAACAGTTAATGTAACCCATCACATCCATAGGCTCATAAACAAGAATCACATGACCATATCTTTAGATATATATTTTTTAATTCACAAAATTTAGCACTCTTTAATAATAAAAACCCTCAGTAACCTTGGAATAAAGGGAAACTTTCTCAACTAGGTTAAACAACATCACCAACTAATATCATATTTAATAAGGAGAAATTCAACTGATGGTTTTTCACTAAGGAATAAGGTAAGGATGTCTCCTCTCACCCCTGCTTTTCAACATCATCTTGAAAGTCCCAGCTAAAGCAATAACAAAAGACGAAACCCAAAACATAAAAAAAGACAAAAACATAAATGGTACACAGCTTGGAAAAGAAGAAATAAAATTGCTTTTTTTTTTTACAGACTACATGATTACTTTTGTATTTTTTTAAATTTATAAGTAAAACAAAACTCCTGGAACTGATAAGCAATTATAGCAAGTTTGTGGGATATAAGATTATACACAAAAGCCAGCTGCTTTCCTGTGTATCAGTAATTAAAAATGAAATTTAAATTTAAAAAGATATTACCATTTAAATTAGCACCTCAAAAATGAAATACTTAGGTATAAACCAAATATGTTCAAAATTATATGAGGAGAACTATAAACCTCCGATGAAAGATAACAAGGAAAAAGTAAATAAATGGAGAAATACTCTACGTTCATGGGTAGGAAAGAAAAACATTACCAATATGTCAGTTTTCCCATCTCAATATATAGATTTAACATAATTTTCATCAAAATTCCAGCAGGTTATTTTGTGCATATCAACAAGCCAATTCCAGATTATATGGGAAGGTAAAATATCCAGACTAACAAGTCAGTATTGAAGGAAAAGAACAAAACTAGAGGACTCTCTCTAACTTAAAGACAAACTATAATGTTACAATAATCAAGACGTGGCAATGATGAAAGAATAGACAAATAGATTAATACATTAGAATAAAGAGTTCAGAAGGAGACCCACATACTTATAATCAACTAATTGATCTTTGACAAAGAAACAAAAGCAATGCAATGAAGCAGAGATAGTCTTTTCAATCGATGGTAAAACAATGGATTTTAGACATTACATGCAAACAAACAAATAATCTAGACACAGATCTCACAATATTTACAATAATTAACTCAAAATAGATTACAGACACAAATGTAAGAGCCAAAACTCAAACTCTTTGAAGATTACATAGGAGAAAACCTTGATAACCTGGGATATGGTGATGACTTTTTAGATACAACATAATCAGCATCATCCACGAAAAAAAGAATTGATAACCTGGACTTCATTAAAATTTAAAACTGTTGCCCTGTATATGACTATATGTCACAAAGATTAGGATAATATAATTACAAACATATATTGATAAAGGTGCAGTATCCAAAATATACAAAGTAACTCAAAATTAAGAAAACAAACTGATTTTAAAAACTGGGCAAGGGATCTGTACACATATTTCACCAATGAAAATACACAAATGGCAAGTATGAAAATGAAAAAATGTTAAAAATCATGTGTCATTAGAAAATAAAATATTAAAATTAAAATAATAATTAGATACCACTACACTTCTGTTGAAATAGGCAAAATCTAAAACACTGAAAACACCAAATGATGGCAAGCATGTGAACAAGATGGAAGTCTCATTTATTTCTGGTGGGAATACCAAATAGTATAACCACGTTGGAAGTGAGTTTGGTATTTTCTTATACAAATAAAACATATTAATACCATATGATCCAACTACCACATTCTATAATATTTACCCAAATGAATTGAAAACTTATATCCACACAAAAACTGTATGTAAATATTGATAGCAGCTTTAGTCATAATTGACAAAATTTGAAAGCAACCAAGCAACCAAGATGTTCTTTAGTAGATGAGTTGATAAACTACGGTACATCCAGACAATAGAATACTATTCAGTGCTGAAAAATAAATGAACTACCAAACTATAAAAAGACATAAAACAATATCTTAAATGCATATTACTAAAAGAAAAAAGCCAGTCTGAAAGGCTTTGTACTGTATGATTTCAACCATATCATTCTAGAAAAGGCAAAACTATGAAGAGAGTAAAAAGATAAGCAGTTCCCAGGAATTAAGGGAGAGGGAGAGATGAATAGGAAGAACAAAGAGGATTTCTGGGGAAGTGAAACTTTTCTGTACATTGTGGATACACATCACTATATATTTTTCAAAACCCATAGCATAAATAATGCCAAGAGTGAGCTGTAATGTAAACTACGGACTTTAGGTTATGACGATGTCACAGGATCCTTTAGGTGTTGCTTTGCCAGCTGGAAACCTCTGTGGCTGTCAGTGTCTCTGCCTGAGTTTCCCTCATGCCCACTGGGCTTGTTCCACCTATTGGGACTGGCAGGCAGTGCTCTGCTTGTACTACCAGCCTGGATCCCATGCCTGCCAAGGGCCAGCCAGGTGCAGAGGAATGAGGGATGTGTGAGCGAGTGAGTGCAGGGCTACTGCACACAGCCAGGCATGCCAACTGCTGTGGCAGGGTGGGCAGCTCCAGGTACTGTCACAGGCACCGGCTCCATGCGAGGCAGTAGCTGGACTAGGCGTACAACAAGCCACTTCTGCTGCAGGTGCCAGCATCCGGTCAGGAAAAGGGGAATGCCATGGTCCCAGAAAACTTGGAGACGCCAACAGCTGCAGAGCTCCTAGGGTTGGGGGGTGTGCTACAACTCTCTCATTCCCACCACCCACAGCTCTGCAAATGGGCAGGGACATGTTTCAGCTCCTTCAGTCCCATGCTTTGCTCTGTCCAGTGTCTCCCGGGCTCCTCTCCACCACTTCGTGTCACTGGAGCACGAAGGCTATCGTGTTTAAACTCTGGCTTGGAAAATCCTGAGGCCTGGGCCCCGCAAAGGGTGGCTGCACTTTACTTCTGGTCCAGCAAACAGGAGCATGTCACCATCCAGAGCTCAGCAATCTGGCCAAGAACGTGTTACAGCCCTTTTCATGTCCTCCTTTTGGTGGATCCCAAGTTCTTGTCCTGTCTCCAAGAAGAATGCAGTTATGTGGACAAATGGAGAATGAGCAAGGCAGAGAAGAGTTTTACTGACAGACAGAACAGCTCTCAGTGAAGAGGATTCCCCTAGTGGGTAACTCCTACCTACAGGCAGGTAGCCCTGAACTTGTGGCTGAGTCCAGGGTTTTACGGTCTCAGAAGGGAGGAAGTGCATTCTGATTGGTCTATGGGCAGGAAGAAGTGCATGCTGATTTGTCCATGGGTGGGCCTGGAAAAAGCACCATTTGATTGGCTAAAAAGCATCAAGGAAGTTTTCACTCTGGGTGGTGAATTCTACCCAGAACTGGCAGCCTAATTTTCAGGCTTCAGGTTGCCTTTGGCTTGAAGCTTGGGTTTCATTGGGACCCGCCCCTTCCTGCCTAGGAATTTGTCTGCCTCCTGCCACTATTGTTATTTCAATGTAGGTTAATTGATTATAATATACATACCAGTGTGGTGCAGCATATGGATAGTGGGGAAGTTTGTGTGTGTATGAAGACAGGGGGTGTATGGGAACTCTGTATTTTCTGTTAAATTTTGCTCTAAAGCTGAAACTGCTTTAAGAAATAAAGTTTATTAATTAAAAAAAAAAACAGAGACTTGGATATTTTAATACAAAATATCTCATATTTAAAACTTTATAGGGTCCAATGGAAATATGACCAAAGGCTGAATTTTAGTCTGTAGGCAAATTTCCTCCTATGAATGTATAGAATGCTATGTATCATAGCAGAAAAAAGAAAATAATCTTATTCACCTTCATAAACTATTTCTGTCGGAAACAAAATATATATGTTTTCAGAATGACCTGGTTTGGGACCTTAAATAATTTTTATAGGATTAAATTCTCATTACCACTTAAGGTAATAAGTCCTATAATTTGTAAGATTAAAAATTACATTGAAAGTGATTTTTCAATCCTATTGATCTCTTCATTCTTCATGATTGATAGTTAAGATGGTAACAAAACATTTTCAAAAGAAAAATTATGTATTTAAGCCAAAACTTTTAGAAAAACTTAAATTCCCTTAGTAGATAAATTTACATAATATTTTCAGTGACTAGTTTCTAAATACATAATAACAAAGAATATTGAACATACCTATTTACATGTTATAAAATGAAAGGTCATTACTATTTATAATTCTCTACAATGCTTCATTTAAAAGTAAGTATGTAAGTTATTTTATACAGGAGACCCAACCTGATTTAAGAATTACCTTGAAAATCTTCTCTAAAATTGGAAAATCAACTATCAATAATTTGGTCACATATTTAGCTAACTTCCAATTGATGACATTAATTTATATTTCTCATATCTTAATGTAAATCTTTTTGGTGTATTTATCAATTTACTAGAAACAAAATTAAACAGGTGAGATATAGAAAGAGTAATGTTTGCCTGTGTCACTGATATAAATTGGGAGCATTGTTATAAATGGTGTTTTCAAAATTCATTAATATTTTTACTCTTGTCACACAGATCTGTCATCATGAATAAAAAGGAGAAATTTTAATGAAAGAAATACTGCCCCTCTTTTTTTTTCTTCTTCTGTTGGTTAAAAAGTTGCTTGAAAATATGTTGAAAATATGTTTGTAGCATTTCTATGTGTAAGTAAACATTCTGAGCACAGCCGCATGTACAAAACCATGGGAATAAAATTCAACTACTTTAATCTTTCCATTTACTTAATAACTAAATAAAAATAGGTCTAAAGACTAAATGATGAACAGACTTACATAATTTGTTAACAAAACTTCTTATGTTTCTAGATATGTTGGAAGTATAATTACAATGAATTATATTTTTTCAAAGAATATTGCTTTGTATTACACATTGAAAATGCATATAATTATTTTAGTTTCTTATTTACATAGAAGAAACACAGTTTTGCTCCAATAACTTAAGCAAACCTTAAAATGATAAACCAGCTAATCATGTGTATATATTTATCATTGCTTTTTATTTGGGAAAACTAAGGCTTCTTCAAAAGCAAAACTACAAAATTGTGTTTATTATTTTTTGTTGCATAAAAACTTTTCTATGTCATATTATCCAAGAAGAGAAAACTCTTCAGGGGAGGCATATGGTCTTTATTAGTTTAGGCACACCTAGCACAATGCATGACTCTTACAAGAAGCTTAATAGTCATAGTTTGTCATATAAGAAGTTGCAATTAATGAAGTATAGTTTGTTCTTTTTTTTTTTTTTTTTTTTTTTTTGACGAAGTCAGCCTCATGGATTCAGGCAATTCTTCTGCCTCAGCCTTCCGAGTAGCTGGGATTACAGGCTCATGCCACCACGTCTGGCTAGTTTTTGTATTTTTAGTACAGATGGGGTTTCACTATATTGGTCAGGCTGGTCTCAAACTCCTGACCTCATGTGATCTGCCCGCCTCAGCCTCCCAAAGTGATGAGATTACAGGTGCCAGCCACCATGCCCAGCCAGTTTGTTCTTTTTTATAAGGAGCAAAACTATCTCTATTCATATTTAGCATGATCCTGTATATAGAAAACCATAAGCAGCCTACACACACTAAAAAAAAACAAGTATTAGAACTAACAGATTCAGCAAGTGTCAGATTATAAAATCAAAATATAGAAAGTATTTCTGTTTCTATACACTAACAATGAACAATTTGAAAATAAAATAAAGGAAATTATTTTATTTACAATAGTATTGAAAACAAATAGCAATGCCCTTTAAAAAAGAGGTGTAAAACTTACCCCATGAAATTATAAAACATCATTGCTATTGAACATTTTCTTTCCTTTTAGTATGTCCCAAGATCTAGGTTTTAGAAAAACAAGAGTTAATACTTCTTAAAAATTATGAATCCATGGAAGCTTAAGGGAAGAGTAGACAGGTTCTAATTCTGTTTTCAACACCTATTAATTGTGATACCTTGGGCAAGTTACACAACTCCATTTGACTTTTCAAAAAACTGACTTTAGACACGTAACTGTACGTACCTATAGGTGTTGTAACAAATTAGTACAAATTTGGTGGTGTAAATACAAATTATGTTACAATTCTAAGTTCAGAAGGTCTAAAATCAAAGTGTTGGCAGGGCTGTATTCCTTCCAGAGCCTCTAGGTTAGAATCAATTTTCTTGCCTTTTACAGCATCTAGAGGCCACCTGCATTCCTTGGTTCATGATCCCTTCCATCTTCTTCAAAGCCAACAACACAACATCTCCAAATCTCTTCCTCTCCTCTCTCACTCTCACTCTCATTCTCCTCCTCTCATCAGGCTCACATCTCTTTGTCTGATTCTCACCCTCTTGCATGCACTGATAAGTACCTTTGTAATTATATTTGTATCACCTAAATAATCTCCCTCACTGCAATATTCTTCATTTAAGCCTATTTACAAAGTTCCATTTACCATCTAAGGTAAAATAATCACAGGTTCTGGAAATTAGGATATGGATATGTTGAGGTGGAGGGAATATTATTTAGTTTACTATGGTAACATTTACCTTAATTTGAATATTTAGCATAAAGGATTGACCTACCATAAATGTCTAAAACATAATTTTGTATCTAAAATATAATTTTAGATATTTTTAATATATGTAAATATTAAAATTTTAATATGAATATAATACAAAATATTTATTGTTATATATGTACATATAATATATATTAAATATGCAACTTTAATAAGTAAATATATTTTTAGAGATTATATTAATATATAAATTGTATTATATATAAACATATTTTATATCTGTTTACTAACATTACCTCTAACACATTAAATAATATTTTTACATTTTAATATATTGTACTATATTTTCATATGGCTCATTTTGAGAACATGGTTCCACATATGAATACAATGTTAATTTATAGAAAACAGGGATTTTGAAAGATTGAAATTTATAATACTAACATATCTTAAAAATCAAACAATAAGATGTTGAAATAGGCTTGGGAGCCTAATATAGTAACATGATTGAAGTAACTGGAGTATAATGTCTTGGTAGCATGTCCAATTTTACACAATAATGGATTGTGCCTAAGTGTTACATCTCAACCTGTTTAGCCAGAAGTCGCAGTCTTATTGTGTCTGTGTCAAGTTATTTAGCTTCGATCTGTCACTGTTTTCAATTTCCATCATGCCTTCTATCCCTGCTTTGGAAAGGACTAAAATAATTAAATACAGCATTTCATTCTTCACCATGACAATTTTCACACTATTATTTTTAAATAATAAACAAAAGTTTCAAAATCTATGCTTCTTAAATTAATTTGTATACTCTTGTGAAAGGATTTTATCTAGTTATTCACTTTATTTTATATTTCACAATATAAGCTCCTACTGATCTCTAAAAACCTTTTAGTAAGTCACGATATTTTATCTACAAAAGCAGTGGAGCAAATTGTAATTTTATTGAGTATTTAATATATGTGTTTGGCAGTATGAAATCCACTGAAAATGTTATATTAAAGTTAACATTAAGGAAATCTTGGTGTCACACTTGAAAACAAGGCTGTGATGCCTATTTTCTGTATAAACTTTATTTTCATATATATATCATAAAAAATTTACAGGTTACATTTATGAGTTTTATTTCATATTATGACTTACTGCACTTTCTACAATCTATGAATTGAAATGTAAAATGTCAGTTGATTCCATAGTGTGAGCCAAATCACAGCTGATAGAGTATAATGTTGACTATTTAGGAGGGCAGAACCAACTGCTAAATATGTACAGATACACAGACACAAACTCAACATCAATCTCAATCCATAAATTACTACTTGTGAACTTGAGTGAACTTGTCATCAACCAGATAACAGAGAAACAGACATTGTACATTCAATAGATATGATACCTTGTTTATTTTACATAACATGCAAATACACTTTGTATTCAGCTAGATATTGTACATTAGTAAAGTGATGTTTCTTTCTAGGAGAATAATATAAATACAAGCTCAGTGAAGTGACAGGAAATATTACTTAAATAAAAATTAAACAGTATAACTCAGTGCAATGTTATAAGGAATAATTGGAATAAAGACCATTACTATATTTTTTACATATAAAATATATGTAGTTCTTATTGATATCATGTGTTAAAAAGTGAATTTTTCATTAAAATCTAATAAATAATGGCTCTTTTAATAAAAATAAATGTAGGATTTATTCTTTTTGTGTGTAGAAATTTGAGATAGCCATATTAACTCTGATAATGCAATATTTTTATTACTAAAATTAATTCTTATTTCTTCATAATCATTTATCAAAACAAAATGTTAATGATCCAAATATCTGCTGGTATTGAATTGAAAAAGAAAATAATTCTGTAGGGATGTGAGTAGAGTAGCCAAATTCTGAAATATGGATTCACAAATATAGAAACTGTTTTAGAAATTTGATAATTTTTTAAATTATATTTTCCTAAGATCTATAACTCATGGTTTTAAGGAATGATATCTGCTCTAACAAAAAAATAGTTTGTGATAGACAAAGCATTATGTCTTATTTATTCCCCAAACAGTAAATAACGAGAGTATTCCCTGGAAGAGCATTATTCTAGTTAGAAGATAAATAACACGCAAGTCTTCAAATTTTGATTATAGGTGATACTGTTTTGCAAACCGAAGACACAAATGAATTAAAATGGCTCTTCAAAATAAGGGTTTTGTTGTTAGACGCCATGAATTAAACATTTCACTCCATCAATTACTACTTGTGTGAACCTGAGAAATGCACATAATCTGTTTAAGTGGAAATATTTATAGTATTATTCATAAGGGTATTTATGATAATTAAATTCTTGTTACTGTGTCTGGTATGGATAGCATATACATAATTCTATCAATAGAATACAAAAATATTAACATTATTATTACCACCTTGAAGATAGTTTTCATATTTTACATGTAACTTTTTTATTTCATGACATCTATATTCAGATTATGTAACATACTTTTCTTTTTTGCTTTGTTTTGATTATTATCCATTTTCTTTTAAGAAACGTGATGCCTTGTTTACACATTTAAATGTATTCTTATACTATTCATTGTAATGTGCTTTAGGCTTGTTTTTAAGCTACAGCTTTTGTCTTAACTCCTGGACTACACATTATTTAAAGATCTTTTCTAAACATTTTCTAACCATAGATGTATGTAGTTAGTCAATAAACACTTGATGGCTGATTGGGGTTAGAAGAGAAGTGAAAAAACTCTTAAATCTTTATAAATCCTAAGAATTAATTTATAAAGTGGTGAAACTGTTCTATTAAAAAAAGATGAATATCTTACCTATAAACCTAGGTAATAGGAAACTTGCTAGGAATCATACTATGTTAAACGGTCAAGCATTTCTCAGAGTCCAGAAAACCCAGAAACCTTGCAATAGAAATAATCTCATTTTGATAAATTTTATAGTCATGAGATTAGTCTGCCACAATATCATTATAATGCATTTATGTTTTTATTATTGTGCTACTCTCATAAAGTTGTCATTATTCCTACACCTTGTATGAAGCTCCAATATCCAGACTCATATATGGAAAACTACTAACAATAATTGTTTTAAAACAACCTTTCATTGAAAAACCTAAGTCACTCATCAACTATAAATAGTTTTTCAGGGAATATAGCTTTTTCCACAGATAGTGCATATAAAATTTTATTTTTATATTTATTCAGAAGAAATGAAACCAAGCCTTCTAATATTTTCTCCAAATATTGCAGAATAATAATTTTCAGCAGAGTAAATAAAACTACATAACAAGTACCATCTCCACACAAACTGAAAAGAGAGACCGTCCACACTTCAAAATAACTAAGAGAAGAAAAAAAATATCATATCCCAGTGAACTCCCTCTTTTACTCAGTTCCATTACAAATTTTTATGACAAGCAATGTCGGCCCAAGAAAAACTTTAGGGGAAAGAAAAGGAAATCTAGGTAAATCCCAGTTTTCAAGAATAAGTTAACTCTAAGCGTAAAATATTTTTATAAGTAGTGGTTCTCAACTTGGGGCATTTTCCCTTTCAGAGGACAATTGGCAATGCCTGGAGGCATTTTTATTTTTCACATTGGACAGGTGGTTACTATCGGTATGTAGTGGGTAGAAACCAGAGAGGCTGGTAAACATTCTACAATACACAAGAAAAACCCTCACAGGAAAAAAAAAAAAAATGCAGTCCAAAAATGTCAGTAGATCTGTTGTTGTAAAACACTGAAGGGAAGGAAATTAGGTATGATTTGCCACAGAATTTGAAAGGCCTAGGTACTAGGGCAAATAAACATGTAAAGAGAGGGTCACCAATTAGCATTTCAGTGGTAATGGGGTAAAAGTGCAAATGACAGAAAATTTAGAATCTAATAAGAAAAAAAAATCACAGGAAATAAAATTATTCCTTTCACCACCAAAAAGAAAACTTTTTTGAATCTGTAATTTGCTACACTGATAAAAAGATATTTAACTAAAAATATTATAAATCATCACAAATTCTCATAGTGCATGGAAAATTGAAAATATTTACACATATTTCTTGCAAATATTATAATATGTGCTTAACATACATCTGAAGAAAATTTCTTGCCAAAGTCTACAGCAAAGTAGAAAAACTATGTGGGACGACCTTTTAAATAAAATATTGAAACAAGTATTTATGGATATGAAAAACACACTGAAACAAGAATTATTTTAAACTTAAAAAAGACATGAACAAAGCACAAAATATTGAAAGTTTATTAAACTCAGGATATAAAGAAAGAGAATAATGAATAATTTAGAAATAAAAACTAAATCATAGGAAGATAAATAAATAATTGATATTTTATGAGGAGTATTGGGTAAAGGTAAAACAGAGTGAGTGGAATGAGATAAAGAGTTAAAATGGTCATAAATATAGGCAAAAAAATAAAAAAAGAATAACATTTGTATAATAGATGGCCCTTGGAGGGTAGTGGGAAGCAAAAATTAAACAGTGAAACAAAGCTAATGTTTGAAACTATCATTCAAAAAAAATTTCCAGAAATAGACTCAACTTAGAAATCTAAATATTGAAAGGATCCAAAAGTCACCTGAGGATATTATCGCCAAACAATAATCTTCAATATATATTCTAGAAAAATACATTACATCAAATGAAAAAATTCATTAAACTTTTAGACAAAACATCAAATGAAGTACAAGAGTAAAATATTTAAAGTGACATCAGACTTTTCCAACGCAACATATAAAGCAAGTCATCAGTGGAGCAGCAGTTTCAAGACCCAACAAAAGAAAATGAAGCCTAAATATTGTATAGCTAACTAACCTGAACTTCAGATGTTAAGGCCATGAAAAAGTCTTAAACATACAAGAGGTTAGGGAATTCTGTACTGATAAGAATTTCTTGGATTTACTACAAGTTAATCTTTATTCAACCAAGACAGGACTGAGCAAACCTTAGTAAAAGAACTGTAGGTGAGCATGAAACATTTATATATTAATATGCCTCAGACTAAAAATAGATGATGATGAGGGTAGAAGACTAATGCACAAATAGATCTGTTTGACAAAATAATGCAACCTAAAAAAAGGGTGACGGAAAGGAAAACAGGGAAGGAGAACAGTCTCATTGATTTTTCATATTAGGCAATAGGTGAGAGTTAAAGTGTACCATTTAAAAATGACAAACTAGTTAAAATCTAAACAGTGAACTTAGGATCTTAAGGTATAATTCCAAAGCTAACTGGAACAAAAATATGAACCATGTGAAATATAAATTTATTCTTAAAAGATGATAATACACATTTTGTCAAAAAATGTAACGTATTCACACAAGTTTAATTATAAAATAGTATGATGGGGTGGAAATAAAACTTATCAATAAAAAAGATTTTCTTTAATGGACAAATAAAAAAGTTCTAATCTAGCTGACAAAGCAAGATGCAACTATTATCTGTAAAATGGACATAAATTAAAATTAATCAGAAATACTGAAATTAATGTGTAGTCAAAGGAATATGCAAAATATGGGGGAAAAAGTAAGAATACTCATCATGATATTTTACAAAAATATAATTCAACTAAACAGCATCAAATGTGAAAAGTTTGTTTTACTGCTAAAAGTCATAATTTACAATGAAGAAATATTGTCCCTCAATATTTATGGACTACATTAGTCAGAAATTATCTTTATGAAACAAAAGCTACAGAAGATGTAATGCTATATCTGGATAAAAACATTAATAGTAGGGGAATCAGTACTAGAAAAATCAAATGAACATTAACAAAAAATAGTTGAGTATTAAGAAACCTAAAATAATGAATAAAATAGATGTAATAACTATATAACTATTAAACTTCACTTCTTATACTTGAAAATATATCTTTATACCCCAAAAAAGTGGTGTTTTTTTTTTTATTTTTGCATGGCAACACTGCTATTTGCCCAGCCCACATCCATTCCACTTCACTCTTCATTTCCCAATAATCTCTTGTACCAGGTGGTGATCTTGTGACCCAATACTAGCCAATAAGTTGTTAGACAATCTTTTTTGGGACTTTCGAGATGTGGATGTTATTGTGGTTGTCTAATTTTGTTGTTTTAATTTCCTTAGGGGAATAAAGCCAAAGCCTTTATTTTATTTTTTTCTTTTTGGCATCTTACATTTTGCCTGTATACAATGAGAAGCTGAAACTTCAAGAACAATTCTTAACCATGCCATAGAAATAAATGACACGGTTAAGAATGTTGGATCAAAAGCAAAGTGGAAGGCTGGAATATTTTCAACCTTGAAAAGTCTCCCATCAGCTCTGGACCATCCACTTTAAAGGAAACATCTTGTTATGTGAACAAAATTAAATGGGGATTTGTTAAGCCATTGGAGTTTAATACGAGTTATTTGTGCTGTTGCCAATTTATAACTGCAACTATCTTCTTGTACATGGTTGATTTTATAGATGTTAGTGTAGAAAATGAAGTGACTTTAATACAATTAGAGTTTTTAAGGATCAGTAGTTCCTTGTTAAATGTTTATATTAAATTCCTTTCAGTTATTAACAAATGATATTTCAATTGATATGTCTTAGTGCTCAGTTTTGAAGTAAATATTCTGGTTTTCAAGGAGGAACATATTTTAAAGGTACCCTCTGCTTTATTCCAAAATTGTGAATAACCAATGAGACTTTATTTCACACAGCTGTTTATCTTGGAAGTTTTGGCTTTTATTCACTTCTGTTTAAATAATCTTCAATAATGCATTAACACATTGAGAGCTAATGACAGTTTTTTACATAACTTACCACAATAAATATTTTACTAACTTCTTTATAAGAACATTCCTTGAAGTATTTATCTTTTTCATTAAGAATACTTCAAAGTAGTTTAGCAGAGAGGAACAGGTAGAAAAACAAGAGAAAATATTTTTCTTCTTAAGTTTAAATAATAAAACTGTGAAAATAATTTAATTTCAGGATAAATAAATATTCAAAACACAGACTTATATTTTAAATAACTATTTTCACATGTGTTAAATATTGTTTTTCTTTGTATATGAGAAAGTGAAAATCTGAAATTTTTAGTTGTTCCTATCCCTCAGAATTCTTAAATTTGTTATTTTAATTAAATTAATTTTACTCAAAACATAAGAATTAAGGGATATGCTGTACTAATAGCTCTATGTGGGTAGTGACTTTAGATACTTAAAAATTTAAAGGGCTTTTTCTATGGCCTCTCATTTTCTTTGCATAGCTGATTAAATTAATACAGAACCAAAAGGGGTTGCAAACAGATTCTGAAGCTGAATTACAACAGTGACAAAAGTCACAGCATATTTTGGCTACAGCATATTATCCTCATGGGGTTGAAAATGTGAGCTTAAAATGATAGCAAGATTGAAGAAAAATTTCCAGCAGTTGCAAAGATATTAGGATTTAAGTAGACTTCAGCATTTTTGAAGAAGAAGAAATCGAGTTACAGATGGCATACATTGAAATACATTAGGCTTTGAGAAATGGAGATTACTTAAGATTTGTGAAGGAAAATTGAAAACCATAAAATCTATTGAGAGTATAACATTCTATTCAGGCTGGAGAGAATGTTTAAGATTACCTTCAATGTGTCTCTAAGTTTGGTGAATACAAGTCTCAGCATTTTAGTGTATTTATAAAAACGAAAAAGAAAATGAAGAAGCACAAGTATGCAAGATAAAACGCAACCTTAGTGTCTCTTTTAATGAGAATAGTTTTTCTTGCTTAATTAATGTAAGAAAACAGATGATGCCAAAGCATATTCACTGAAATGTGTTCTTTACCTTTACTCCAAAGTATGTGCATTAATTTATGTTTAGCAAACTAATAGGTTTTGATGACACTTAAGATAACTAAAGTCTCAATGTATCAGCTGAGACTACAGTTGTTTACACAATTCATTAATGCCCGAATTCATATTTATTCAGTCTCTTCCTATCTAGGGGTTTGGGATACAACTATGAGCAAAGTAAAAACATATCTCCTTTATCCTGGAGGGATGATGAAGGAACAGACAGAAAGGCTGCACCATGACAGACAATAAATTTTAAATATAAAAATATTAGCAAAGTGCATTTATATATGAATTTGATAAAATATTTTGGGAGAGGGTGAAAGTAGAACATGTAAGGGACATTAGGCATGTTATGAATTCTTAATTCATTGGTATCTTTAGTTACTTTTATCTAAAAAATAGAAAGACACTTGTATTATTACAGCTACAGTGATATCAATTTCTCTTTCAAAATGTCTATAAACCACAACTACAGCAAGAACAACAGAGCCTTTCTCACCCCCACGCCACAAAAAAAGGACAATAAACACACAACAATTGCCATGAAGTTGAAAGAGAACAGTGTTGCCTTGGGTGAGGAAAATGTGGTTTTAGTTAGAATAGATATTCACCCTCCTGTCAATAAAGGTGTAACAAATTATTCTAAAGTGGATCTTCCTCATGAGCATTAGAACAGAGATCAACATTACAAATGTATTTTATGACAAGATAAAAACAGGCTCATTAAAACTTTGTCCCAAAATTAACTAAAAGGAAAAGCTGGGAATTGCTGTATAACTTGAAAGAACACTTAGGAAAATACTAAAGCATCAGTACAGAGTGTTCCAGCACCACACATACCCCTAACTGGAGAATCTAGATCATGGCTTATAAAATCATTCTTACCGAACACTGCAAAAGAGATTTCTATCTATTGTAAATTTTTGTTTATTTATTTGTTTGTTTATTCATTTATTCATTTTTGAGATGGAGTCTCACTCTGTAGCCTGGGCTGGAGTGCAATGGTGCAGTCTCAGCTCACTGCAACCTCTGCCTCGCATGTTCAAGTGATTCTCATGCCTCAGTCTCCCGAGTATCTGGGATTACAGGTGCCCGCCGCCACACCTGGCTAATTTTTGTATTTTTAGTAGAGGCAGGGTTTTGCCATGTTGGCCAAACTGGTGTCGAACTCCTGACTTCAGGTGATCCACCCGCCTCGGCCTCCCAAAGTGCTGGGATTACAGGAGTGAGCCATCTCGCCCGGCCAAATTTATTTAAAAGAGTAAAATAGTCTCATAAGTATAGGCAGCTTACTGAGGTATCCTTTGTTTGAATATCCACTTTGCCATTTCAAAAATGACATAACATTAAACGGTGTTAAGTCAATGAGAGGAAAAATCTCATCTTGAATTTTAAAATAGCACTTTTGAGTTTTTCAAGGAGTCATTTATAAAAACATTTTAGCCCCTAAGAAGATTTCACCAGTGATGATGAAATCATTTTTGTAGTGGTTTGCAAAATTATCCTCTAGCAAATGCCAGAAATCAAGTGCCTATGGATGTAAGCAAAAAGAAACAGAATGACTGGATAAAATTTGCATAAAATAAAAGAAGTTATATGACTGTAATATAAGCTTGTCTGAAGATAGTGAAGTAATTTCTCTGCTGGAAATTTGTACTATTTACAAAAAATAAATATAGCATGTGTGCAGAATTTGTCTTGCCTTCCAGATTTATTTTGTTAATTTAATGTATTTATCAAAAGAATATTTAACATATAAAACACCATTGTAGAACTTTTTAAATTCTGTGAAATTGTTAACGGTGTAATTAATCAACATTGATTATTATCTGTTATGTTTAAAATCATAACAGATAACAATGATTTTAAAGTGTAGTATGAATATTTTTAAATTTTAAAAAGCTGATTGATGAGAGTAGGTCAGATAGAATCTGAGTCTTTGTTAATGCCAAACTATGAATAAACTGTATGTTTTTCTCAAAAGTTCTCCAAAACACTTTACATAAATTTCAAAATCAGCATACTTTCATTACGTCATACTAACCAAATGTGAGTAGATTTGAGACATAAGAAGTTTATTTCAATGATGATAAGATGTTTGTGCTACACTGTACTAGTGGTAAAGACAGCAAAGGTTGTCCTTCACAAGGCATCACAAATATGAGACCCAAAAATGGCAATAGTAAAAAAATGGGGTTTAGTTCTTATACAGGATGCATTGTAGGAAGAAAAGGATCAATTGGGATAATAAAACTTGCATTTCTGATTTAATATTTTTAAACCCAGCCACGTTTCACTAATTCACTCATGTGCCTAGATGATTCCCAATATCTTTACTATAATATTTTACATAAATATAAACTAAAATGAAATAGATATTTTTTCAAGGTAATATGGTCTCATAAAAAATATCCAATCAATTTCCTATTTCAGTAATTCTGCACCCTCTAAGTTACAACAGAATCTATAGCATAGTCCAATAAGTAATGTAGGACTACACCATAAAAATACTCCAGACATTCCTGCAACACACATATTTGGCATGCATGTATTCAAATACATAAATCACACATATTAAAGACCAACTGTGATGTCCATGCCACTTTCAAAAAAATATTTTGGCTGATATAAACTTCTCCTTTCCTAAGATTTTATAGGCAAATATTTGCCCCTTTCTGTGGTATTTATCATTTTTTGCTATGCACTGTAGGCTTTTAGATATTTGTCTTTATCTTTTGAAATATGCATAAAGATCTTTAAAGATATCATACACACTGAAATTTAAAACTTGATTTGTATTTATTTAAAAATAAAATTATGCATTTATTTTATACTACTGACACATTCAAGACAGAAAATGATAATATATTTTTAAGTTATGAACTTTAACATCCAGGACAAAAAAAAGGGGAACACGTTAATTAACATCTAAAATTAAAAACTTAATGCTACAAATAACCTTGAACCCCCTCTCATCCCTTATTCAATTTTCCTGACATTTTGGGATTGAGAATATACTGAATTTTATGTTTTCTATTCTTTTGCTTTTCTATAATAGCTTATAAAATAATGTTATATATCATTGTGCAATATATGGTTTGACTTCTTTTTAAAATGTTTCAAATGTTAACACAATTTATGAAGTATTTTACAGCTTGCATTTTTTCTTGGGACGTTTTGCTTCTGTGATATATATGTACATATATATATGGCCTACACATTTTTATCTATATATGATTTTAATGTATTCATTCACTAATAAATAAAATGTTTAAATACATTGCTGCTATATGCATTATTATAAATGTCTCCTAAAGCAAGTATTCATAGGTTTCTCCAGATTATATAGGTAGAAACAAAATTATTGAAACATGGTTTAAATTACCAAATTTTTAAATGTTATTCAAATTAATATTTTCACTAGCAATGTATACAAGTTGTTCCATATCTTCAACAATACTTTTCATAATTAGACATAAGTTTTGACGAGTATATTGGATGTATTATGTTATCTAAATTTGCATTTCTGTGATGACTAATGAACTTTTTTGCATGTGAGTACTCACCCTGGTTCTCTTTGTAACATTCTCAATCATGTCATATATCATTTTTTTCATTTGGTTTTATTTTATTTATTGACTTGTTAAAGTCTAATAATAATCTCTGTGTGCTGTACTAACATTTTAGATGCTGAAAATTATAGAGATTACATATATGCTGCAAAGATCTTCTCTGAGCATCTGAATTTTTTATTCTTTTTAAAGTGTTTTAACAGTGTTTTTAAATTTCAACTATTTGAATAATTTAGCCTTATTTTTTATTATTTGGGCTTGAGAAGTCTTAAACACTTCCCTATACACTTAGCTTAAAAACATACTATATAGATAAGTGATGTCAGCAAGATTTCAGAAGAGGGAATCTCAGACTTCACTACATTTCACATAAATTTCATCTAGCAACTATCCCCAGGCAAGGACACCTTGTTGAAAACTTCTAATCTTGAGAATAAGTCTGAGACTCCTGCATGGCCCACTAAACTGATTAAAAACTGATTAAAACAGTGAAAGAAATTATCTTACTTTGTGTCATCCCTACCTCTTCCTGAAGTTGGCACAGTAGCACACAGAGAGGATTCCCCAGGGCCCATGGTTTCTACAGTGGAAACAGAGAACTGGAGGTGGACATACAGCTTCCCTAGCATTTTGAGTTACTTCTCAAGAAGCCCACTCCCATCTCACCTCACAGGAAACACAGGGGTGACAGTGTAGCTAGACCATCTGGGGTGAGGTAGAAACAAAGCAAGTAGCCTACACCAACAAGTGTGCAAATCATGGTGGTAGCTTTGTATACCTGACAATAGTGGCACACAGTCACAGGTATCAGCTAACAGCACAGTCGACCCACAAAGCCAAGCTGAAGTGGTGGAAATTTTTACCTGTCTTTAATCCCTAGAGGGCATCCTTTAGAACCAGCTTCAGATCCCATCTCAGGCTACCCAGTGAAACAGATGCATGCTGCTGTGTACTTCAGCAGGGGGAAGGGACTAATTCTGCCATACCTGGGAATTTAAACAGTACTCTGCTGAGATTCAGGCAGGGAGGCAGGCAAACCTCAACCATGCATTTTTATTGAGTATATAGCAGATTGTCTAATTCATCTAAAGCAGTGACTCTAACTGAAATCAGAGCCCCTCCAGAAACACTGTACAACTGAGGAACTCAAATAGAAGTCTACATGGCCTAGGAATACACCCTCTAGGCTAACCTTATCAGAGGCAATTGCAGGATTCATCCAGTCTCTCAGCCTGATTGATGAGCTCAGCCAGTGGTATCAGCGGACAGCAGAGCTTATGCAGCTGTTCCACTCAAACTCAGAGAATTCAGAAGAATTCTACAAAAGTTTAGCCAACTCCAAAAAATAGATGAATAAGAAATAAAATGTGGAAAGCAATACAGGAATTAAATGAGAAGTTGGACAAACAAGGGGAAATAATTTAAGAAAGAAAATAGAAATCCTAGAGATGAACAAGACAACTGATATCAAAAACACAATAGAAAGCTTTAACAGTAGGCTCAATCAAGCTGAAGCAAAGATTATTGAACTCAAAAACAGAATATTCAAAACTATTCAATCAGAGAAGCAAGAGATAAGAGAATGAAAAACAATAAAGAAAGCCTATAAAAATTATGGAGCACCATCAAGAGATCAAACATTAAAATAATTAAAATTAAATAAGGAGAAGAAGCAAGAGAAAAAGAGCCAAAAAGTCTATTTTAAAAAATAATGGCTGAAAATATTCCTGATGTCAACATCCAGGTACAGAAATTGCAGAGGTCTCCAATAACATGAAACCCAGAGAGTCCATCAAGACATGTACTCAAACTATCAAAACACAAAGACAAAGAAATAAGTGTAAAAGCATAAAGAGATAATAAATTCATCACATTAAAAAAGTGTAAGTATGACTACTGGTGGATTTCTCAGCAGAAATTATGCAAGTCAGGAGAAAATGGGATGATATACTCAAAGTGCTGAAGGAAAAACAAAACTGCCACTCATGAATACTTTATCCAGCAAAGCTATTTTTCAGAAATGGGGAAAAAATAAAAAGTTTCTGAGACAAATTAAAGCCAAGGGAGTTAATGATCATTGGGTATGCCTCTAAGGAAAATTGCTTAAGGAGTTATTTAAGCTGAAACAAAAGGCTCATAATAGTAACAACATAAAATTTATGAAAGTAGAAAACTCAATGGTATAAGAAATGCAGATCTATATTAGAATACTCTAGGACTGTAATGCTGGTGTATAAAGCACATTTATCATTAATAAGACAGTTAAAAGACAAAGTGATTAATAACTATAGCTAAAATAAATTGTCAAGAAATATATATTACAAAATGTAAATTCTGCCATCGTAAACATAAATTGTTGGAAAAGGAGTAAAAGTGTTGAGTTGTATGCAATCAAAGTTAACTTGTTGTTAGGTTAAAACAGACTATTATAAGATATTTTTTATAAACCTCGTGGTAACGAAAAAGCAAAGTCTTTAGTAAATGCACAAACTAAAAGTAAAAAGAATTCAAAGCATACAGATAAATATCAAACCACAAAGGAACACAACAAGAAAAGAAGTAAAAAACAAAGCAACCAGAAAATAATTAATGAAATATTAGTAGTAAGTCATTACCTGTCAATAGTTAACAGGAATGTGAATGGATTGGGTTCTCCAATATAAAAATAAAGTGACTGAATGCATAAAAAAGAGAAGACAAAGTATATGCTGCTTACAAAAATTTACCTTGCTTTTAAGGACATTGACAGATTGAAAGTGTAGGTATGGAAAAAGGCATTCCACATAAATGAAAACCAAAAGAAAGCAAAAGTAGCTATACTTATATCAGACAAAATAAACGTTAAGTCAAAATCTGTAAATAGAAAAAAAAGGAGTACATTATATAATGATAAATGGATCAATTCTTCAAAATAGTATAAAAATTGTTATGTGAAGTCACCCCTTGCTATCAGGCATTCATTTCAGAACCTTCTGAAAATACACAACTTGGTGAATGCTCAAGTATCTTATATAAAATTGAATAGTACTTGCATAAAACTAATTCATACCTTCCCATATAATTTAAATCATCTCTAAATTATTTATAATACCTATACAATGTAAATACTATCACAAACAGTAATTATACTCTATTGTTTTCTATTTGTATCGTTTTTATTCATCTTTTTATTGTCTGTTAAAAAGTAGTTTTGATTGGTAGATCTGTGGATGCAGAGCCCTCAGATACAAAGGGTTGACTGTTTCTCCCAATACGGAAACACCTACCATATAAAGCAGATATTCAAAAATCTAAAAAGAAGAGGTAGATTTCAATACAATAATAGAAAAGCACTTCAATAACAAATACATTCAACAATAAAAATATCATCCAAACAGAAAATTAATAAGGAAAAACTGGACTTGAACAATACTTTAGAACAAATGAACCTAACAGACATTTGCAGAATATTTCTTCCAATAGCAATGGAATACACAATTTTCTCAAGTACACAAAAAATATTATCCAGGATAAATTGTATGTCAGGTCACAAGGTAAGTATTAGAAAATTTAAGAAGATTGAGATCATATAAAGAACCTTTTCTAATAACAATGCTACAAAACTGGAAATCAATAACAAGGAATTTCAAAAAAATTCACAAATATAATCATGTGTTGCTTAATAATGTGAATGCATTCTGAGAAATGTGTCATTAGGCAATTTCATCATTGTGTAGAATCATAGAGTTTGCTTACATAAACATAGATAACACAACCTTGTACATACTGTGGCTAAATGGAGACTGTTGCTCCCAGGCTACTTATGCACCATGCTACTGATGCTTCTGAACAACCAATGTGTCAAATAAGAAATTAAAAGGAAAATTTCAAAATATCTTGAGGTAAATGAAAACATAACATATCAAAACTTATGGGATACAGCAAAAGTTCTAAGATAAATATTTATAAAAATACACACTCACATTAAAAGAGCAGAAAGATTTCAAATAACATTATACCTGAAGTAAATAGGAAAAGAACAAACTAAACAAGTTAGATGCAAAAATTCTCAACAAAATACTAGCAAACCAAATCCAACAGCATATCAAAAAGATAATACACTGTGATCAAGTAAGGTTTATTCCAGGTTGTTAAGATGGTTTCACATATGAAAATCAATAAATGTGATACATCACCATCAACAGAATGACAAAAAAACCATATGATCATTGCAATAGCTACAGATAAATAACCTGTTAAAATTGAACAGCCTTTTTTGATTAAAAAAACTCAACAAAATAGACATTGAAGGACCATATCTTAAAATCATAAAGGCCATATATGACAAACTTACCGGTAACATGATACTGAAAGTGGAAAAGTTGAAATATTTCCTTTAAGATCTGGATCAAGGCAAGGATGCATACTTTCCCCACTTCCCTTTAACATAGTACTGGAAATTCTAGCCAAAACAGTAAGGTAAGAAAAAGAAAGAAAGACATTTAAATTGGAAAAGAGGCATTTAAATTGTCCCTCTTTGTTGATGACAGGAACTTGTATCTAGGAAAAAAAAACATAAAATTTTTAGAACTCATTAAGTCATTACATTTGCAGGTCACAAAATCAGGATGTGGAGAAATAGGAACACTTTTACACTGTTGGTGGGACTGTAAACTAGTTCAACCATTGTAGAAGTCAGTGTGGCAATTCCTCAAGGATCTAGAACTAGAAATAGCATTTGACCCAGCCATCCCATTACTGGGTATATTCCCAAAGGATTATAAATCATGCTGCTATAAAGACACATGCACACGTATGTTTATTGTGGCACTATTCACAATAGCAAAGACTTGGAACCAACATAAATGTCCAACAATGATAGACTGGATTAAGAAAAGGTGGCACATATACACCATGGAATTCTATGCAGCCATAAAAAATGATGAGTTCATGTCCTTTGTAGGGACATAGATGAAGCTGGAAACCATCATTCTCAGCAAAGTATCGCAAGGACAAAAAACCAAACACCGCATGTTCTCACTCATAGATGGGAATTGAACAATGAGAAGACAGGGACACAGGAAGGGGAATGTCACACACCAGGGCCTGTTGTGGGGTGGGGGAATGGGGGAGGGATAGCATTAGGAGATAAACCTAATGTTAAATGACGAGTTAATGGGTGCAGCACACCAACATGGCACATGTATACCTATGTAACAAACCTGCACGTTGTGCACTTGTACCCTAAAACTTAAAGTATAATTTAAAAAAAAAAGTGTGCAGCACCACTCTGCTCTCTCTCTTTCTCCTGCTCTGGCCATGTAAAACATGCCTGCTTCCCCTTTGCTTTCCATCACGATTATAAATTTCCTGAGTCTTCCCCAGCCATGCTTCCTATAAGTCTGTGGAAACTTGAGCCAATTAAAACTCTTTATAAATTACCCAGGCTCAGGTATTTAATTATGGCAATGTGAGAACAGACTAATACAAAGACACATGAATGTCCAACAGGTATATGAAAAAAAGTTTTGCATCACTAATCATCAGAGGAGTGAAAAGTAAAACTACAATGTGATACCACTTCACCCCAGTTAAAATCTTTTATGGAATAGGCAGCCTATATAACAGGTTCTGGCAAGGATGTGAAGAAATGGGAGTTCTCATATGCTGGTGGTGGAAAGGTAAATGTGTACTGCTACTAAGGAAAACAATATGTAGGTTTCTCAAAAAACTAAAAATGGAATTACCATAATATTCAGAAGTACCACAGCTGGGTACATATCTTAAAAAGGAAATCAGTATATCAAAGAGAGATCTTCACTAGTATGTTTATTGCATCCCTATTCTCAATCAGGAATCAATGAAAGTGTCCACCAGCATATGAATGGATAAATAAATGTGGTACATATACACAATGGAATATTATTGAGCCATTAAATGTGAAATTCTGTCACAACAGCATGGATGGAAAATGACACTGTTAAGTGAAATGAGTCAGGCACAGAAAGACAAATATCACATGCTCTCACTCTTAAGTGTGAGCTAAAAAATATTAACCTCATGGGAACAGAGAATAGAATGTGGTTAGAGAGGCTGACAAGGATAGTGGGGAGTGAGGAATAAAGGGCATCATCAATTATTACAAAAAACTGTATAAAAGAAATAAGATCTAGTGTTCAGTAGCACAATAGGCTGACTGTGGTTAATAATGATTTATGGTATATTTCAAAAAAACCCTAAAATATAGACTGTCCCTAACTGTATTAGGCTGTTTTTGCTTTGCTATAACAAAATACTTAAGACTGGGTAATTTATTTAAAAAAATTAATTGGCTTACGGCTCTGCAGAATTCACAAGAAGCATGGTGGTGGCATCTACTTGGCTTCCAGGGAGGCCTCAGTAGGGAATAGGTGCAATGCCCTTTGAAATGACCAGATTCCATGTAAACTCAGATTCTCTAAATGAGAGCTCACCTGTCAAGAAGACAATGACACAGTAACTCATGAGAGATCTGCTCCCATGATCCAAACACCTTGCACCAGGCCCCACCTCCAATATTGGGGTTTATATTTCAATATGAGGTTTGGATAAAGACTAATATCTAAACTATGTCATTCCACCCCTGCCTCCCTAAATCTCATGTCCTTCTCACATTGCAAAATACAACCATTCCTTCCCAAGAGTCCTACAAAGTCTTAACTCATTCTAACATTAATTCAAAAGTTCAAAGTCTCAACTGAGACAAGGCAAGTCTCTTTCACCTATGAGCCTATAAAATTTAAAACAAGTTATTAATTTCCAAGATATGGAGGTATACGTGTTGGGTAAACATTGCCATTTCAAATGAGAGAAATTGGCCAAAAGGAAGGGACTATAAACCTCAGGCAAGTCTGAATCCCAGTAGGGCAGTCACTACATCTTAAAGTTTAAAAGTAACCTCCTTTGACTACATATCCTGCATACAGGGTACACTTGTCCTAGGGGTGGGCACCCAAGGCCTAGGACAGCTCTCCTCCTGTAGTTTCACAGGGTGCAGGGTACCCAGCTGCTCTAACAGCTTGTTGCCAAGCACCTAAGACTCTTCTAGATGCACAGTGCAAGCTGCATGTGGATCTACCATTCTCGAGTCTGGAAGATAATTGGCAACCTTTTCATTGCTCCACTAGGTGGTACCCCAGTGGGGACACCTTGTGGGGTCTCCAGCCTCACCTTTGCCCTCACATTGCTATAGTAAATGTTCTCTGTGAAGGGTCTACCCTTGCAGCAGGCTTCTGCCTGGACACCCAGGCTTTTCCATACATCCTCTAAAATCTAGGGAGAGACAGCCAAGAACACACATTGCTCTTGCACTCCACCACCTTAAGGCCACCTAAGTGTATGGTTTGAATTTTCCAAAGTGGCAGCCCAAGATGTACCTGTGCCCCTTTGATCCCCAGCTGGAGCTGAAACATCTGGATGCAGGGAGCTGTGTCATGAGGCTGTCAAGGATGACAGAGCCCTGGGCCTGGCCTACAAAACCATTCTTCCCTCCTTGGCCTCTGGGCCTGTGATGGGAGGGGCTGCTGCAAAAGTCTTTAAAATGCCTTTGAGGTCTTTTTCACATTGTCTTGATATTAGCATTTGCCTCCTTTTTAGTTATGAAAATCTCTCTAGCAAGTGGTTGCTCCATAGTCTGCTTTAATTTCTCTCCCAGAAAAGCTTTTTGGGCTGGGTGCAGTGGCTCATGCCTGTAATCCCAGCACTTTGGGAGGCCAAGGCAGGCAGATCATGAGGTCAAGAGATCGAGACCATCCTGGCCAACATGATGAAACCCCATCCTTACTGAAAATACAAAAATTAGCTGGGCATGGTGGCACACACCTGTAGTCCCAGCTACATGGGAGGCTGAGGCAGGAGAATCATTTGAATCAGGGAGGTGGAGGTTGCAGTGAGCTGACATCGTGCCACTGTACTCCAAACTGGCAAAAGCACTAGACTCCATCTAAAAAAAAAAAAAACAAAACAAAACGCCAAAAACTTTGTCTTTCTTTGTCACATGGCTAGGCTGCACATTTTCCAAATTTTCAAGCTGTCCTTCCCTTTTAAATACAAACTCGAGTCATTTATTTGCTCCTGAATTTGAGCACAGGCTGTTAGAAGCAGCAAGAGCACATTTTGAATGCTTTGCTGCTTAGAAATTTCTTCCATCCGATACCCTAATTTGTCATTCTAAAGTTCAAACTTTCACCAATCCCTAGGGCATGGACACAATGCAGCCAAGCTCTTTGCTAAAGCATAACATGTGTGACCTTTGCTCCAGTTCCCAATAGGCTCCTCATTTGCATCTGAGACCTTTTCACCATGTGCTTCACTGTCCATAGCACTATCAGTATTTCAGTCACAACCATTTAACCAATCTCTAGGAAGTTCCAAGCTTTCCCTCATTTTTCTGTCTTCTTTTAAGCCCTCCAAATTCTTTCAACATCTGCCTGTTACCCAGTTGCAAAATTGCTTCCACATTTTTCAGGTATCTTTACAGAAATGCCTCACTTATTAGTACCTATATTCTGTGTTAGGCTGTTCTTGCATTGCTATAACAAAATACCTGAGACTGGGACTCATGGTTCTTCAGGCTGTATATGAAGCATAGTGCTGGCATCTGCTCAGCTTCTAGGGGTGCCTCAGAAACCTTACAATCAGGATGGAAATCGAAGGGGGAGCAGACACATACAGTGCAGAAAGCAGGAGCAAGAGGAAGACAAAGGAGGATCCATACACTTTTAAATGATCAAATCTCATGTGAACTCAGAGCAAGAGCACAATTATTACCAAGAGGATAGCTCAAGCCATTTATGACAGATCTGCCCTCATGATCCAAACACCACCCCACATCCAACACTGGAGATTACATTTCAACATGAGATTTGAGTGGGGACAAATATCCAAATTATGTCACTAACATAAAGAAATGATAAATGCTTGAGGTGATGAATAGCACAATTACCCTGATTAATCATTATGCATTGTATGGTTTTATCAAAATATCACATGTATACAATAAATATATACTGGTGTATATTCATAACAAGAGTCAAAAATTAAAATAAATAATTAAAAATTATAAATTTTTTCTTATATTCATGAGTTAATTAGAAGTGTTTTTATTAATTTCTAAACAAATGCATAATTTTTTTCTACTTCTAATTTAATAGTTTCTTGGTTCTAGAACAACATCTGTGTAAACCTTTTAGCAAGGTGTCAGAATACAAAATTATTGTACAAAAATCAGTAGCATTTTTTTTTTTTTTTTTTTTTTGAGACGGAGTCTCGCTCTGTCGCCCAGGCTGGAGTGCAGTGGCGCGATCTCGGCTCACTGCAAGCTCCGCCTCCTGGGTTCACGCCATTCTCCTGCCTCAGCCTCCCGAGTAGCTGGGACTACAGGCACCCGCTACCACGCCCGGCTAATTTTTTGTATTTTTAGTAGAGACGGGGTTTCACCTTGTTAGCCAGGATGGTCTCGATCTCCTGACCTCGTGATCCGCCCGCCTCGGCCTCCCAAAGTGCTGGGATTACAGGCGTGAGCCACCGCGCCCGGCCGCATTTTTATACATCAGTGACATTCAGGCTGAGAGTCAAATTAAGAACATTATCCCTTTTATGACAGCCACAAAAAAATTAAATGCCTAGGAATACAGCTAACCAAGGAGGTGAAAGATCTCTCCTAGAAGAACTACAAAATACTTTTCAAAGAAATCAGAGATGATACAAATACATGGAAAAACATCCCATACTCATGAATTGAAAGAATCAATATCATTTATTCTTCACTGATGTAGCTTGTCCTTGTTTTGATTTTGTTCCTTTTTTGTTTCAATAAACAAATAGCTCTATAATTTGTCAAATTACCAATACATTATTTTATGGTTATTAATTTTTCTGTTCTGTTAAAAAGTTCAATCAATGTCACGGATATATTCTTATATTTATCTTTCAGAGTCTTTTTTATTTTACCTATAATATACACACTTATAATCCATTTGACTTCATTTTTATGTATGGTCTGAGATAAGCATCAAGTTATGTATTTTTCTACAGTGATACACAATTGACTTAGAAATATTTATTGAAAATACAGTCCTTTTTTACTCTATTTTATATGCATCCAATTAGCATAAATCATATGTTCATATATTTATGGATGATTTCTGAACTTTCAATATAATTACTTTGATCTATCTCAATCCATAAGCAAATACTATCCTATCATATTTACTACAATTTTATAATATCTCAGTATTCAGTGATGTAATCCTTCAACGTTGTATTTTTTTAAATTTGCCTTGGTGATTCTTTCCTTTATTTGTGAACTAGTGTAAATGTTGTGATGAAAAGAACTACCATGTATTTTACATTTATTGAGATAACCAGTTAACATGACTTAACTTTTAAAGTCTTCACCAAAATTTTTTGAGAAAGATTCTGTGTGTGACTGAATATATACATAACTAGCTTGGAAGAGTCTAAAAGACTAAGTGTGGAGTCAAATCCAATTTGTGGGCTAGGTATTATAAAAGCCATAGTAAATAGATATATCCTCTACACAATTACTATATACCATAAATTGTATAATAAATTTATTTTAAAATTTCTATCTCCTATATTTTGGAATGCTTTCTTCATTAGTGATGTTCCCTGATTTCAAGCTTATCAAATATAGGCCATCAATGAATCTAAACTAGTTCAATGCAATAGTTTTTCTTTGTTACAGATCAGAGACATTAACTTCCAAGTCTCAGGAAAGGGAATTCATGTTACTGAATCTGCCCAAATTGACATTTGTATTTTATCTTCCTTGCTTTAATTGATGTTCTTAGCATTTACATGACCCTTAGTTATTACCAAGAAAAATTGGTAAGTACTTGTACCTCTATGGTATATCGTCTTTCTTCCAGAGTAGAACTTTTCTGTGCTATGCCGTTTTTCTATGCAATGCAGTGATGACATCTATGTCTCAATAGGGGTCTAGATGGAACTAGATGCAACATGAAACTGACAGTGATTGTTAAGGGCACACATCCTCAGCTTAGGAGGCATGTTCCAAAAGTTCATAGAAAACCAGAAGAAATAAAAGACCTGGCTATCTGAAATTAGAAGGGATTTGATTATTCTAACAAGGGAAGTTTAGGAAGAATTCCTAATCTATACTGTTTTGTTTTTTAGTGTGTGTTTGTGTGTGTGTGCATGCACGTGTGTGTGCGTGTGTATGATAGTCAAGGACAGATTGTTTAATGCGAAGGAATTCCTCCTATCCCTGTACATATACTGCTTTGTAATGAGACTTTTCTAAAACTTTACAGGCTTTCTGAATGTTTTGAGCAATAGAATATAGTGGAAGTGATGTTGCATGAATTCGGAGTCCTAGACCTTACAGCTTTCCCCTGCAACCTCAAAAATTCTGCTCTGTTCCATCTTGTAAAGTAGGTCAGGAGAATGAATATAATGAAAAAGGGGTCCATCTTTCCAAATGCCCTACCTAAGCCTAACCCCATGTTTACCTTATCCTGATTGCAACCGCGTAAGTGAAAACCGGAAGACCACCAGAAAAATTATACAACTGACACACAATCAATTAAATCAATTATTTTTAAAAATGAATAAATCATTGCTTCTTTGAAGATTTTCACAGATAAATGAAAGTGGGATTCAAATATCTCAGACTCACCTGTGTCCTAAATACTTATATTCTATGTCTCAAGATCTCATATTATTTTCAATCAGTAAACTTACCTCCCCATAATAGACCTGACAGGTACATGTAAAATGTAGTTTATCAAACTAAGAAAATAAATTAGGGCAGTGCAAAGATGACTAAGAGGAGCCAGTATGCACTGCTCTCACAGAGAGGAGATAGAGTGGCAAGTAAATACTAGATCTTCAAGTGGAAGAGCCAGGTGGATACAACAGGATTGATCAAAGAAACAGCTGGACCCAAGAAGAATGGAGAGGAGCAAGACAAGATTACTTCCCACCCAGGAGTGGCTCTGAGGCCACCTCATCACATGAAAAGGTGAGTGAGTCAGAATCCCTGTGGACCCTCGCTTCTGCCATGGACCATTGCAACCTTGGGATCAGGAGATCCCCTTGTGAGTCCACACCACAGCAACATCCAGACTGACCCAGAGAGCTATGTGGAGTCAGGGCAGAGCTGCCGCTCTGGCATACGTAGAATCCCAGGGAACTTGGACCTCCAGGCATCCTGGCATTAGCAGCTGCATCTCCGGCAATGAGGGAAGTCATGCTCCCTTGCATGCACCCAAGAAAGAAGCCAAATCCAAGGGACTGGGTAGCAAGAGACTGAAGATCCAGCTTCCACTGCATCTTGGAGGGTAAGGCCCACTGGCACAGGACTCCAGCCATTCCCTGCCTGGGCTGTTGGGCCAGTAGCAGCTCTGCATTCTCCTGGGAGTAATTTCCCAGAGAGAGAAGGCTTTCTTTTTTTTTTTTTTTTTTTTGGTGGTGGGGGGTTGGGGTGGGGGTCGGACAGAGTCTCGCTCTTTTGCCCAGGCTGGAGTGCAGTGGCATGATCTCTGATCTCAGCTCACTGCAACCTCTGCCACCCAGGTTCAAGCGATTCTCCTGCCTCAGCCTCTCGAGTAGCTGAGACTGCAGATGCACACCATCACGCCTGGCTATTTTTTTTGTATTTTTAGTAGAGACGGGGTTTTGCCATGTTGGCTAGGCTGGTCTCAACCTCCTGACCTCAAGTGATCTGCCTGCCTCGGCCTCCCAAAGTGCTGGGATTACAGGTGTGAGCCACCACTCCCTACCGGGCTGCCATTTTTGCTTTCCCACAGTCCTGGCCACTGCTGCCCTCAAGCTCTGGAGGGTATACAGTTATTAGAAACTGATGCAACCCCCAGCACAGTGCAACCACCCCATGGAAAGTGGCCAGATTGTTTTCCATGCAGGTCTTAATTCCTGCTTCTGTTCAATGGGAGGACCTCTTGATTAGGGACTCCTATAATGTACGTGTACATTAATGTACATGTAACCATTAACCTAAAATAAAAGTTTACAAAAAAGAAAATTAAGGGAAAACAAAAATATCATTTTAGAATTGAATCCTTGATAGGTAGAGTAAAAATATCTATAAAGTTGTAAATAATATTTAAAGAATAAATGAAAGTTGCCAAAAGTACAAAAATTAGAAAAGATAAAGCATTACAGAAATGATCTATATATAAGAATACAAGCCCTAGTGTACCTGTAGGTAGATTTTATGTAAAAGAAAAACAAAATAGACGAGAATAGTTTTTAAAAATATAAACCAAGCAAACTATCTTTCCATAAATATACACACATACTCATAAATTGAATCTCCATATTCAAAATGTACTCAGGAGATCTGTTGTTAAGTCATCATTTCTGATAAATGTTCTAGTAATTTAATATGAAAATATATACTGAAGGATTTCAAAGAAATTCTAAGTATATTCTGAAAGAAAGAAAATTATATTAGGATTAGATTTCTTGGCAAAACCATGTAAAACAACATAACAGTGAAAAGTTATATTTTAAAGCAACTCAATAAAAGAAAAAGTGATCCAAATATCAATCTTATTGAAAGAGTTTTAAACATTTAGTAACTGGAAGAGAGCTATAGTCGTAGACCTTTTCAAATGACTATACTAGAAGATACGCTTCAAGCAACCCATTAATGGCTGAGAAAACTGGCAACATATATGATAGTAAGCATGATTATATTTAATTACTTTAAAGAAAATTATAAAACCAGATAAACCTGTAGGATAAAAATATGGAGATATCATATTTTTACATATTAGAAATGTGATGACTAAAAAGATGAAGAGGAAGAACAAACAACATAGAAAGTGGAATAAACCCAAATTATTTTGCATAGTTAATAAGAAAAAAGTCACATTATATCATAAAAATTAAATATTGGAAATTTAAGTAAAATAAAAAGCCACTATAAACATTATAAAAGTTATTAGTATAATGTCAGTCATTAGCACAAATATTGAACTGTCAGAACCAAAAATACCCTGAGAATCTAAAAGTTAAAAGACAGGCAACTTTGAGGCAAAAACAGTAAAAATAGCATAATATGCATTTTAATAATAAGATAATATGCAAAAATTGTAACAAATCTTTACTTCTATCCGTAAATGTGAATGGTCTTAGCTCACTTATTAAAGGGTCTTATAATATTTCAAGGTATTTATTTGAAAAAATTTCAAACACACAAACTACTGGTAAAACTAATAAGATGAACATCCATACGTGCTCCACTCATATTTACAGAGGTTTGCCAATGGGAAACATTTCAAGCTAGCTCCTGTATGCTAGAAACATCTCCTCATTTCTTAAACACTTTTATAGCAGAGAAAGTTGGTTTATGCATCATTTATACTTCCCTTGCACCAGTCTAGAAAATGGCATTATCCAAATGATCCTTGGTTCCTTCCCATGGAAAATAGTATTTAGAAATCAATATCTAGATCCTAGGTGTTGTTTGGTTGGTTTTGTTTGTTTGTTTGTTTGTTTTTTACTGCTATTAAGATATAGATTATATTATATCACACCAAACATCACATTATGTTATTTCGAGTTAATAATGATAAGTCTTTTTCCAATCCAAAGCTATAAAGTTCTTTTTATCTTTTTTCATTTAATATTTGTATCTTGTTTCTCCTATCTGGAAACATCTAATTCTTCTAGACATCAGTATATTGCTTATTTGTCAATCGTATAGTAGGCAGAAAATAGTTTCAGATTTGTGACACTACCAAAAACAGCCTTACTGATTAAAGTGCAAATTATCTTTGCAGTTCTTTTGTTTTATCTTCACAATATATACAATTAAAGATATACAATGAAAATAACTTGTTAAAAGTTCTTTCTTTTCTAAAATTCTGTGATTATGTTAGAATTTTATATAAAATCATATTCAATTTTTTGTTTATATTCAGTATGAAGTTTTTCTTTTTTCCTGCCATTCTTTTTGATTGATTTGCTTGAACATATAAACCATAATATGGTTTTTAAAGTCAAAATTATACGAACAGTTATACAGGACTTAGAGTAGTAACTTTCTTCTTATCTTCCCCAACTGAGCTCCAACTAAATTACATAGGTAAATATATTCATTCATTTATCATCATTTCTATTATACATACACAAGCAAATGCATGCATTTTCACCACTGTACACCTTTATTTTATATTTTTTTACATAAAAAAGGACTTACTGTAGACAGTGTTTCCCAGTAGCTTTTTGACTTAACAATGTAGAATTTAGCCTCACTGCAACATCAACCTGTGTATCAGTGCTGTGTCTGCAACAGAGTGAGTACTGTGCGCTGGGCTGCAATCTCAGGGATATAGCCTCACAGACATGTTAAGCCTCAAGAATTGGTGGCCTCAGTGGAGAGTGCCCACAGTCACCTCAGCTCCTCTCTTGAGTGTTTTCCATCACCTTGTTTAGAGCTTGTCCCCGCTCTAGAGACACTTTGCTGTTCTTCCTTTTCAGGCTTATAGGACCAACAGATATAGCAACTAAGATCCAGACTATAGCAGTGACTAGTTGAGAGTCATTTACCAAGGGACATCAACTTAAAAGACAAGCAAACAAAGAAAAAAATGTACTTTAGATCTTCTCCTCCCTTCAAAGTAGCAGGTAAAATAGAAAATTGATAAGGGCTAAATCTATTCTGGGATCCAACAAATGACACTAGACAATCTGTGCGTCTATTTGAGCAAATTCCTGATTGAATAATGAAGATGCTAAGGACAACTAGAAACTGGAGAAATTTCAGAATATTTCTCATTAGAGCAGAGTGAAAATAGCAAGATGGCACAATAGGAGGTCCCTAGCTTTAGCCCTCCTCACAAAGAGTTTACGTAGCAACTACTCACAGACAAAAAAATGTCTTTGTGAAAATCCCAGAAACTGGAGATAAAGATGAAGCACCCTCTTGGACCACAAAACCTAAGAAAAGCCACATAAGAGGGCTCAGAGGAACATATTTATTTTGATGGCATTGCCTCTTCCTCAGGCAGGCAGAGCACCACACTGAGAGGGTTCGCCTAGGCCCACATTTCCTCCAGTAGAACAAAGAGAGCCCAAGGCATACATTCAGCTTCTTCAGCATTCTGAGGAACTTCCTGGGAGGCCTACTTCTGTCTTGCCTTACAAAGAAATCTGTGAAATCAGCAGGGCTAGACTACCTTTTGTCAGCTAGAAACAAAGAACAGGGACAAGGCTTACAACAGCCAGCACTGGGTCTTGGTAATGGCACCACATTTTTGCTAGAAGCATTGTATAAACAGTGAGAAAAGTCAGATGCTTCAACCACCCACACAGCTGAGCCATGGCATCATCATATCAGGAATCACAATCAACAGTTCTGACCAGCTTGGGTTGGTAGCCAGTACCCTGGTCCAGCTTTAGAGTGCAGGCTTGACTCAGGCTGTGAGCTAAGCCAGTAACCCCACTACTTTCAAAGCATAGCTTCTAGCCACTCTTGACCAAAGAGCTCAAACAGAAACCCCACCAAACATTGGAGCATAGTCTACAGCTCTGCCCAGACAGAAAACCTAGCCAATAACCGTGATCTACTGTGGGGCCCGCCCTGGGCCCACACAATCAGAGAGCCCAGCTAATTATCTGGATTGCCTGTGGAGCCCATGCTACAGAAAAAATAAACAGTGGAGCCCAGCCCACAGCCCCACCCATTTGCTGAGCACAATCTGTGACTATGCCTCAGCAGGAAGTCCAGCTACTGACCTCAACCAATCACAGAGTATAACCTGGAGCCACACCAGATTGGCTATCCTGCAGACCACAGAGAACAGCCTCCAGCTTTGCCTGATCATGGAGCCCAGCTAGCAACCCCACCCAATTGCGGAGCACAGACTTCACCCCACTTGAGCAGTAATCCCAGATGGAAACTCCACCAGAACATGAAATATAGCCAGTTACCCCACCTAAGTGTGGAATGAAGCCACTGACCACTACCACCTGCAGCCCTGTTAAAACATGGGATCTAGCTAGCAGCACCATCTAGCCAGAGAGTACAGCCTGGGATTTCACTAAACCAGGGGCTATGGCAGGACCCAACTTGTGGCCTACCCAACTGTTGAGTCCAATCAGCAGCAACACCTGACTTAAGAGCACAGGGTGCTGTCCTGATCAACCAGAAGCAATCATGAAACCAAGCAAGAGGATTTTCCCGAATATGGAGCTCAGCCAGTGAAACTATCTGACCTTGGATTGTAGGCAACAGCCCTGCCCAACTAAAGCACCTGATAGAGAGCCCTGCCTATTTATACACATTGACAGCTGGCACCTTCAGAACCCCAGGATGAACTTATTGATAAAATTATTTTCCTACCAAAATAAATCTATCAAGTCCAGAAGAGATGGCTGCCTCCTCAAATGGGAAGACAACACTGCAAGAATACAAGGACTATGAAGAATCAGGAAAATAAGACACCACCAAAGGAAACAAAGAATAATGGACCCTAAACAAATGAAGATTTATTAACTGACTGACAGAGAATTCGGAATAAACCTCTTAAAGAAGTTCAGTAAATTACAAGAGAACATGGATAGACATGCATAAAATTGTGACAACAATACATATAAAAATGAGAAATTCAACAGAGACAGTAACCATTAAAAACTTGGAGATGAAGAATATAGTGACTGAATTAAAAAATTCAGTAGATGGCTAGCCATATGCAGAAGACACCGAAGTTGGACCCCTTCCTTACACCATATACAAAAGTCAACTCAAAATAGATTAAAGACTTAAATGTAAAACCTGAAACTATAAAGACCCTGGAAGGCAATCAAGGCAATACCATCCTGGGCATAGAATCAGGCAAAGATTTTATGACAAAGACATGAAAAGCTATTGCGACAAACGCAAAAATTGACAAGTGGGATCTAATTAAATTTAGGAGCTTCTACACAGCACAAGAAGCTATCAATAGAATAAACAGACAACCTACAGAATGGGAGAAAATATTTGCAAACCATGCATCTGACAAAGGTCCAATATCTAGCATCTATAAGGAACTTAACCAAATTTATAAGAGAAAAACAACCCCATCAAAAAGTGGGCAAAGGACATAAACACTTTTCAAAAAAAGACATACATGCAGCCAGCCACATATGAAGAAAATCTCAATATCACTGATCATTAGAGAAATGCAAATCAAAACCAAAACGAGATACCATCTCACACCAGTCAGAGTGGCTATCTCCAAAAAATAAAAAAAAATAACAGATGTAGGCTAGTCTGTGGAGAAAAAGGGGCACTTATACACTGCTGTTGGGAGTGTAAATTAGTTCAACCAGTATGGCAATTCCTCAAAGAGCTAGCAGCGCAACTACCATTTGATCCATCAATCTTATGACTGGGTATAGACTCAGAGGAATATAAATCATTCTACCATAAGGACATATACACACAAATGTTCACTGGAGCACTGTTTACAATAGAAAAGACATGGACTCAACCTAAATGCCCATCAATGACAGATTGGATAAAGAAAATGTGGTACATACACATCATGGAATACTATGCAGGCACAAAAAAGAATGAAATCATGTCTTTTGTGGGAACATGGATGAAACTGGAGGCCATGATCCTTAGCAAATTAACACAGGAACAGAAAACCAAATACCCATGTTCTCATCAGTGGGAGATAAATAATAAGAACTTATGAACACAAAAAATAAAACAACAGACACTGGGGTCTACTTGAGGGTGGAGGATGGGAGGACATAGATCAGAAAAGATAACTACTGGGTATTGGGCTTAATTTCTAGGTGCTGAAATAATCTGTATAACAAACCCTTGTGACTTTAGTTTACCTATGTAACAAACCTTCATATGTACCCCTGAACCTAAATTGAAATTAAAAATTAAAAAAAAATTCAGCAGAGAGTTGCAACAATAGACTTGATCCAGCAGAAGAAAGAATTGGTGAACTAAAAGGCAGGTCATTTGAAATTATCCAGTAAGAAGAATAGAAAAGAGTGAAAAAGAATAAAGTATGAAGGACTTATGGAACACGATAAAGTAAAATAATATTCACATTATGAAAATCCCAGAAAGAGAAGGAAAATCCATTTAAATAAATAATGGGTATTTTTTTTTAATTTGAAGAGAGAAAGAAATATGTTAAGCCCAAAAATATCTACCCTCAGATGCATTATATTTAAATTGTCAAAATTCAAAGACAAAGGAGAATCACTGAAAGTATCAAAAGAACAAGTGATGTATCACATACAAAAAAAAATTACACTATAAGCAGGCTTTTTATCAAAACATTGCAGGCCAGGAGAGAGTAAGATAATATATTCAATTTTTTTTAAGAAAGCAAAACTACCACCTAAAAATACTATACCCAGCAAAATTCATCTGTAGGAATTAAGATGAGATAAAGACTTTCTCAAACAAACAAAAGCTAAGAGAGCTTATCACTACTAGACATAACTTAAAAGAAACTCTAAAAGAAGTTCTTGAAGTGGAAATGAATGAATGCTAATTAACAGCATAAGAATATATGAATATATAAAAACTTACAAATGAAAGTAAATATATAGTGAAAGTCAGTATTCTATAATATTGTAAAGGTACTACATAAATCACTTTCAAATTTGGTTTAAAATTAAACAATAAGCATATTAAAAATAATTATAATGATAATAATTCATCACTGAATGCACAATTAAAAAGATGCAAATTGTAACAACAATGACCTAAAATGTTGTGGAAGGGAAGAAGTAAAAGGTATGAAGTTTCTGTAGGCATTCAAGATAAGTTGTTATCAGCCTAAAATAGATTGTTATTACTATGATATATTTTATGTAAATAAGCCTTATAGTAAACACAAAGTAAAAACCTTTAGCAGATACAGAAAAGATTAAGAAAACAGAATCAAAGCATATCACCACAAAGGGTTATCAATTCACAAAAAAGAAGGCAAGAGAGGAAGAAAGAAGCAAAGGAACTACAAAATAGTAAAAAAAAAAATTAAAATGGCAAATATTGTTATTACCTATCCAGAATTATTTTGTATAAATGGTATAACTTCTCCAATCAAAAGACATAACGTGGCTGAAACAATTAAAAAGCCAATTTCTAATGATTTATTGTCTACAAGAGACTCATTTTAGCTTAAGGACACACATAGGATGAAAGTAAAGGGCTGGAAAAAGAATTTCATACAACTGTTAACCAAAAGGGAGCCAGAATGGTATATTTATATCAGACAATATAGGATATAAAACAAAACAGTCCTAAGAGACAATGAAGGTCATTATATAATGAAAAAAGGGTCAATTCATCAAAAAGATACAGTGATTATAAATATTTACACACCAAAATTTGGAGCACCTAAATGTTAGAAGTAAATACCAACAAAACTGAAAGAAGAAATATACTGCAATACAATAATAATAGGGAGCATCAAAACTCCATCTCAACAATAGAAATATCATCCACATAGAAATAACTATATAAATGGCCAATTTGAACAACATTACAGACGGAATTGACCTCACAGAAATACGGAACAGCCATGAAACATTAGCAGAGTACGCATTCTTTTTAAACACACATGGAACATTCTTCAGGATAGACGATGTGCTAGAACACAAAACACAACTTAAAACATTTTTAAAAAAATTAAAACAAACCAAATATCTTTCTTAGCCACAATGGTATAGAACTAAAAATAAATAATCAGAGGAAATTGGGGAACTCACAAATGCGTGGAAACTAAACAACACACTCAAGAAAAAACCTGGGTCAAGAAGAAATCAAAAAGAAAGTTAAAAAAATAAAATTCGTTGAAAATGGAAACACAGCATACAAAACATTAAGAAAAATGAAATGTCTCAAATAAACAATCTTACTTTATACCCCTAAGATCTTGAAAAATAACAAACTAAGCTCAAAGTCAGCAGAAAGAAAGAAAAATAAATATCACAACAGAAATCAATGAAAAAGAGACTAGAGAACAACAAAAACAATTAATGAAACTAAGATTTTTTTAGAGATAAAATTAACAAATCTTTAGCTAAACTGTGAAAAATACATAGAGAAATCTCAGTTAAATGCAATTACAAATGAAAAGAGATACACTACAACTTACAAGACAGAAATAAAAAAGCTATTAATAGTAGCACCTATAAATGAATAAATTGAATAACCTAGAAGAAATGGATATATTCTCAGGGATGTATGACCTACTGAGACTGATGCATGAAGAAATAAAAAATCTGAACAGACCAATAAGGAGTAAAAAGAGTTAATCAATAATCAAAAAACTTCCAACAAAAGAAGGCCCAGGACCAGATGAGTTTGCTAGTGAATTCTACCAAACACTTACGGAAGAATTAACATCAATTCTCAAGTCCTTCCAAGAAACAGAAGAGGAGGGAACATTCCACCCTATTTTACAAAGCCAGCATTACCCTAATATCAAAGCTAGACTAGGACTCTAAAAAAAAAAAAAAAAAATGAGCCAGTGATGAAGACACTTGCAAAAATATTCAACAAAAATACTAGCAAACCAAATTGAATATCACATTAAAGGAATTATACAGCATAATCAAGTGTGATTTATCCTTATAAAACAAGGATGATTCAACATATGAAAATAAATAAATGTGATCATATTAACAGAAAGTGGATCAAAATTATATGACCATTTCAATAAATGCAGAAAAAAATTTGACAGAATTCAACGTTTTCATAATAAAAACTCAAAAATTTGATATAGAAAGGAAGTACCTCAACATAAGAAAGGCAGAGTAATGCCTCGCTTAATGAAGGGACTATGTTGTGAGAAATACATTGTTAGGCAATTTTGTCATTGTGTGATCATCATAGAGTGTACTTTAACAAACCCATGCGGTATAGCCTAGTACACAGCTAGGCCTACTTCTCCTAGGCTACAAAACTATACAACATGTTACTGTATTGAATACTGAATAGGAAATTGTACCATGATGATAATTATTTCTCTCTCTAAACATATCTAAACATAGAAAAGGTATAGTAAGTATACAGTAATATAATTTTATGATACCATCATTGTATATGCATTTCATCCTTGACCAGAGAGTCATTATGAGGCACATGACTGTATTGTATTCCACTTTATTATCTATCTTTTGTCTCTGATAGCTTCTTCTCAATTTTTTTCTATTTTTGTTTTATTTAATAATAGCTATCACAGTTTAACACATCTTATTTTTAAATTTTAAAAATTTATATTTAGTTGGCAAATTATAATTGTACATATTTATGGGATTTAATGGTATATTATAATACACATATACATTGTGGAATGATCACAACAGATTAATTAACATACCCATCACTTCACATACTTATGAATACTTTGTAGTGAGAACATTTGCAATCTATGATTTTAGCAATTTTGAAGTAAATGATACGTTATTATTAATTATAGTTATCGTACTTTGCAAAATATCACTAGAGCTTATTTATCTTGTCTAACTAAATTTTATATGCTTTGAGTAGCATCTCACCTGTCCCGATGCACCCCCACCACCTGCCTGTGTTAACCACCTCTCTATTCTACTTCTATGATCTCAATGTTTTTAGATTTCATGTGTAAGTGAGATCATATGGTATTTGTCTTTCTGTGTCTGTCTTTGGCTTATTTTACTTAGGCTAATATCTTCTTGATTTATCCATGTTGCTGCAAGTAATAGAGTCCCCTTCTTTTTAGGCTGAATAGTACTCCATTGTGTATATACACCATGTTTTCTTTATCCACTCATTTCTTGATGGACATTTAGGATGTTTCCATATTTTGGCTGTTGTACATAATGCCGTAATGAACAGGAGAGTGCATATATCCCTTCAACATACTAATTTCAATTATTTTGGATATATACCTAGAAGTAGGATTGCTGGATCATATGGTACTTCTATTTTTAGTTTTTGAAAGAACCTCCAAACTGTTTCCAAAATGACCATATTAATTTACTGCATGCCAACAATGTGCACAAATTTTGTCCTCTCTCTATCCTCACCAAAATTTATCTTTTCTCTTTTTTGTTGTTGTTGTTGTTCTTTTTATTATTATTATTATTATTATACTTTAAGTTTTAGGGTACATGTGCACAGTGTGCAGGTTAGTTACATATGTATACATGTGCCATGCTGGTGTGCTGCACCCATTAACTTGTCATTTAGCATTAGGTATATCTCCTAATGCTATCCCTCCCCCCTCCCCCCACCCCACAACAGTCCCCAGAGTGTGATGTTCCCCTTCCTGTGTCCATGTGTTCTCATTGTTCAATTCCCACCTATGAGTGAGAATATGTGGTGTTTGGTTTTTTGTTCTTGTGATGGTTTACTGAGAATGATGATTTCCAATTTCATCCATGTCCCTACAAAGGACATGAACTCATCATTTTTTATGGCTGCATAGTATTCCATGGTGTATATGTGCCACATTTTCTTAATCCAGTCTATCATTGTTAGACATTTGGGTTGGTTCCAAGTCTTTGCTATTGTGAATGGTGCCACAATAAACATACATGTGCATGTGTCTTTAGGAAGAATCAACATCGTGAAAATGGCCATACTGCCCAAGGTAATTTATAGATTCAATGCCATCCCCATCAAGCTACCAATGACTTTCTTCACAGAATTGGAAAAAACTACTTTAAAGTTCATATGGAACCAAAAAAGAGCCCGCATCGCCAAGTCAATCCTAAGCCAAAAGAACAAAGCTGGAGGCATCACGCTACCTGACTTCAAACTACACTACAAGGCTACAGTAACCAAAACAGCATGGTACTGGTACCAAAAGAGCGATATAGATCATTGGAACAGAACAGAGCCCTCAGAAATAACGCCGCATACCTACAACTATCTGATCTTTGACAAACCTGAGAAAAACAAGCAATGGGGAAAGGATTCCCTATTTAATAAATGGTGCTGGGAAAACTGGCTAGCCATATGTAGAAAGCTGAAACTGGATCCCTTCCTTACACCTTATACAAAAATTAATTCAAGATGGATTAAAGACTTAAATGTTAGACCTAAAACCGTAAAAACCCTAGAAGAAAACCTAGGCATTACCATTCAGGACATAGGCATGGGCAAGGACTTCATGTCTAAAACACCAAAAGCAATGGCAACAAAAGCCAAAATTGACAAATGGGATCTAATGAAACTAAAGAGCTTCTGCACAGCAAAAGAAACTACCATCAGAGTGAACAGGCAACCTACAAAATGGGAGAAAATTTTTGCAACCTACTCATCTGACAAAAGGCTAATATCCAGAATCTACAATGAACTCCAACAAATTTACAAGAAAAAAACAAACAACCCCATCAAAAAGTGAGCAAAGGACATGAACAGACACTTCTCAAAAGAAGACATTTATGCAGCCAAAAAACACATGAAAAAATGCTCACCATCACTGGCCATCAGAGAAATGCAAATCAAAACCACAATGAGATACCATCTCACACCAGTTAGAATGGCAATCATTAAAAATTCAGGAAACAACAGGTGCTGGAGAGGATGTGGAGAAATAGGAACACTTTTACACTGTTGGTGGGACTGTAAACTAGTTCAACCATTGTGGAAGTCAGTGTGGCGATTCCTCAGGGATCTAGAACTAGAAATACCATTTGACCCAGCCATCCCATTACTGGGTATATACCCAAAGGACTATAAATCATGCTGCTATCTTTTGTCTTTTTGATGGTTGCCATTCGGACAGGTGTGAAGTAATTTCTCATGATGGTTTTAATTTGCATGTCCCTAATGATTAGTGAGATTTAGCATTATTAATTCATCTGTTGGCCATTTGTACGTCCTCTTTTGAGAAATACCTATACGGGTCTTTTGACTACTTTTTTTTTTGTATGAATTTAAGGAATACAAGTGCAGTTTTGTTACAGGAATATATAGTGCTTAGTGATAAAGTCTGAGCTTTTAGTGCAACCGTCACCAAAATAATTTACATTTTATCTATTAAGAGTAATTTCTTATTCTTCACTCCTCATCCATCCCTTCCATCCTCCCACTCTTCTGAGTCTCCAATGTCTATTATTCTTCTCTCTCTCTCTCTCTCTCTCTTTTAGATAGAGTGTCGCTCTGTTGCCCAGGCTAGAGTGCAATGGCGCAATCTCGGCTCACTGTAATCTCCCTCTCCCGAGTTCAAGCAATTCTCCCGTCTCAGCCTCCCGAGTAGCTGGAATTACTGACGCATGCCACCACATGGGCTAGTATTTTGTATTTTAGAAGAGATGGTGTTTCATCGTGTTGCCCAGGCTGGTCTCGAACTTTTGAGCTCAGGCCATCCACCTGCCTCAGCCTCCCGAAATGATGGGATAACAGGCGCTAGCCACCACGCCTGGCCCACTCTCTCTTATGAATGAGAACTTGAGGTATTTCACTTTCCGGTTTCAAGCTGCTTCATGTAAGATAATGGTCTCCAGTTTCATCCATGTTGCTGCAAAAGACATGATTTCATTCTTTTTTATGGCTGAATAATATTCTATTGTATATGTATTTTTTCTTTATCCAATTATCCATTGGTGGACACATTTTCTTTATCCAGTCACCTATTAAATGGACACTTTGGTTGATTCTATATCTTTGCTATTGTGATTAGTGCTGCAATAAACATACGAATGCAGGTATCTTTTAAATATAATAGTCCATTCTCCTTTGGGTAGATACCCAGCAGTGGGATTGCTGGATCTTGTTATTGAGTTGTTTGGTTTATTTGTATACTTTTGATATTAGCCCTTTATCAAATGTATGATTTGAAAATATTTCCTCACAGTATGTGAGTTGTCTTTTCATTCTTTTGTTTTCTTTGCTGTGCAGAAGTTTTTGGTTTGATGCAGTCCATTTTGTCTATTTTTACTTCTGTTGCCTGAGCTTTTCAGAATATATCTAATAAATCATTGCCCAGACCAAAGTTGTGGAGCCTTTTTTAAATGTTTCTTTCTAGTACAATTACAGTTTCAGGTCTTACATTTGCTTCATGGGTCTAGAGTTTAATCATATTTAGAAATTTTTTTCTTAATGCTATCTTTAGTAGTTGTATAATTTTATTTTTTACATATAGATTTCTAATATATTTGGAATTTTTGGTATATAGTGTAAGATATGGATTTAATGTTTTTCCAATTAGATATACTAAATAGATATAATTAGATATATGAATGGTTTTTCTAAAATTTTAGAGTCAATTTTTGTCTCTATAATTTAGAATGCCATCTTATCAGATGCAAAACTCATCTATAATGTAATATACATGTAAGTTTATTTGTTTTATGCTTTTGATTTCTCTGTTTCCTCAATAGCCATCATTGATTTCCCATATTACCAAGAGTCAGGTCTCAATATAGATATACTTTGTACTTTTATATGTTGAAGTGATGCAAAGCTTGACTAATACATTTCACCATGAACTTGTGAATATGTTTGAAGTTAATCATCAACATTTTTTGGACTACTCATGGGAGGCTGGCTAGAAGACAATTTATTGACATAGAAGTTCTCTCCCATAACTAGTATTTCAATATAGTCTCAGGGATTTCTAGAGACAAAGTAATTTTTGCTGAAAATAGTACCTTGAAGCTTGTAAGCAAAGAGAGTCATTAGTATATTAAGTAAAGATTCTGGTACTGCCTTTGCAGAGTGTTTATTAAGGGGTGAGAAAGCTTGGAAAGAAAGACTAAAGTGTTAGAATGGTTTAATCTTATAAGGCTAGGGAATAGACTCTAAACCATATTCTTTAGGATATTATAGAGTAGTCTCCTCTTATTCAAAGAGTCAAAAACCACTGGTGAAGGGCATACCATACCCTTTGAGAATCTCAGTGGTGTCTGTTCTCTACACATTGATGTTCACAGGAGATACTGCCTTTGGAAAAGCCTCACATAATTTCAGAAGGGCCAAATGGAAGCATTTAACCTGTAGAAACAATAAGAAAATAATTTTAGTAATGAAACTTTGGCTATTGTAATCAGGGGGACTTCGACTCATAGAAATCAATGGTGAAGGTTATTATGTTCATGAGTGACTACTTGTCTTTCCACGTAATCAAATGTAAAAGTAGTAACTTGGGACCTTTAATTTGCCTATCTACCTGCTCTCATTGAGTATAGTGCACTGCTTATTATGTATTATTCAAAGTTCGGAATATAATGGGTATGATTTATCTATAGTCATGTTACATGTATCTAGGGAATTTCTGGATTAGTTTTTCAGGGTGAGCAGATGTTTCCCTACCCTTATTCACCAACTAATTCAAAAGTTATCAAGCATAACATTGAATTCTCATATATAAATATTATATAAAAAGACAGAATCCCTTCTATAGTCTTGTTCTAAGACAGACACAGATATAATTGTGATATACTAAAACATGATAATCATAAAGCCAGTATGTATCAAATAAATGAAATCAAACACAAATACAAAACCTAAGTTTGACATTAAAGTTTTGGGAATGATTTTTAGAAAATAAAAAAGATATTTAGCCAAGTAATTGAAGGATACATGTATAATTTCAAGGTTAACAGATGGAGCATGTCTGTTAAGAGACTAAGTCATATTTTAAAATTAAGTCTGTACAATTTAAAATGCATTAAAACCCTTGTATGTTATTTGCATGATATTCTATGCTGATGTTTTCTAAAATTGAAGCAGAACCTCTGGGGATAAAGGTCAAGAATTTGTATTTCACAATACAATCTAAAACAAACACACAAAAATATAGATAGCCAGGTTTAGAAGCAGTAAACAACTACAATGATTAGTATAAAACAGATTAAAGAATTCTGAACAATTAGTGTTTGTGAATGACCTTAGCAGTCTTGACCAATGCTAAGATGAGGGAAGAGGATGAGAATTCTCTTTGGTTCTTCTAGTTAATTAGAATAGCAATTGTCTTTGAAGTTCCATTAAAGGCTAATATCCCAGTAGCCCTATCCTTTGAATTTCTTACCACCTGTTCATAGCTGCTGAGAACAATTTACTGTTTATAATGTACACACGTTCTTACGCTTAGACACATACAAATAACTGGTTTAATAGGAGCCCATGTGGAGAACGGAAATAGACACCCAGACTTCAGGATTAATCATGACACTTGGAGTACAGTCTTAAGAGGAAACTGCTGATTTACTAAGATTGGATGCTAGACCCACATAATAGTTGCTTAAAACCTATGTCATTAAACTCCAGGTGGCTCTGGACTTCAGTGTGCATTGTTAAAGTCCCATTAGGTGAACACAGATGAGGTAAAGTGATTGTCAGGAGTTGTGCTGAAACCTAAGGGCAAACCAGTTGATTATATATTTTGTGTTTGCTGAGGGGCAGTTGCTAAATTAAACACATTAAACTAATATATAGTATAACATCAGGACCAGGGTCTCATTTTAGGACGAATTTGAATCTTCTCAACATTTCCCTTGTAATTGCTCTGACTTTTGAGCTCCATTTTACTTAATGACACTGAGTGAACTGAATGGCTTCAGCGAAATGAGAAAGCAGCAAGGAAATTCAGTGGAAGTTTTGATTGCATCCCCTGTTGTAGCCTAGTTTCTGGATAATCTTATACCTTGATTATATAATCTTCTTTTCATGGTTTATCCTCCATCGAAATGGGAAACTATTCAGGGATGATAAAGTTTCCTATGATGTAGTTGCAGTACTTGTAGTTAGGACATTAAAACACAAAATATAACACTTGAATTGGAAATTCCTCTATTGTTGTCCCTATATTTTATTGCTTTTAAATCCTGCAAGCTGAGAAACTTCATACACTAATGCATATTATTTTCTTAGTGATTATAATTTATATGTTACTTCTGATCATTTGGTTAAAGTATTAAGTGTTGATGACATTTCTGCTCTAATCGGTCTATTCAGGGTAAAATTTATATTTTTAAAATGGTGTTTTACAGAAAGATGTAAAAAGTAGGTTACCAGAAATTTAAGGGTTAGTAAATACTCCATTCTCATGCTTGCATTTAAAGCTCCAGTACAAACTGAAATTTTTATATTTAAACAGATAATAAAAGGCAAGCCAACAACTGCACCAGTGAGTTGCTAAGCCACCAGAAAAAAAGCAAACTGTGCTAAGCATAAGAACCAGTAAAGCTGTGAGCTGTGGAATCCATTAGCTGTGTATAAAATGAGGTCACTGAATCATGATCTCATTCTGAACAGAATCATTTGGATACAAATATACATCAAGATGACTTGTTTGAAGCCCAAGAGTTGTTGCTAACAATTATACAATGCAGTACAATGTTATTTATATGCATAAAGGTAGAATAAAGTCTCTTCATTAGCTGAATGTATTTCCATGTGCAATCAGTTAAGTGCCAGTTCTTTTTCTTATTTCTGCATATCCAGAATGTTATCTTTTTAATTGTAACAATTATAATCTATAAAACCTCAATGCATTTTATAACCAGGCTAATTTAAGAAACCATTAGACATACTGGGTAATAATATATTACTAAGAGAGAATCTATAAAAATAATCAATTTTTGGTTGGCAACATTAATTGAACTACTATGAGCAGAATTAGTTTTTGGTTTTGTTTTGTTTTGGTATAGAATAAATAAATTTGCCTAGTGCTTGAATTGCAGAACATATTTTGTAAACTATGAACTCAAACACAATTCAGAAATCAGATGATTTGTCAGAATACAAATGCCTGATGACACTGTTTTGTAAGGTACAGGGAGAAAAAAGGAATACAAAATTCATAAACCTTTGAAAGAAATTAAATTATTTTATGCATTATATGGTCATTGGTACTCGGAATAAAAGAGGGGCTGGAGTATACTAACAGGAAGCTAAAGCTGGAAGGACTTTTGGAAATTGTGTCATTGTGAGCACAAAAATCAGAAAACCCACTAAATAGCAACAAATCTCTCCAATACCAGCTCTAGACAAAAATAAAATCAGAATAATGACACATTAAAAAAGGCTGATTAACAATTATTTGTAAACTTTAATATTGTAACATAATTTTTCATAGAGAAAGAGTTGAAAGTTATTGATTTAGGGCATGAAAGAAAGGAATAAGCTATTTGGAAAAAGTTGAAACATTTACAAAATATCTATAAATATATACACTTTTAATTTTATATTGTTAATTGTTACAGGAAATAATGCTATGATAAAACAATAAAGACATGCTCTACAAGGCTATAAACTCTTTGGAAACACAAGAACATCTTATTTTTTTTTTTTCACATCGAAGACATGGCATAGATCCTTACTTGTAATAAGCCTCCAGAGATATTAGAAATAGATTTTATGCTATTTCCAAAAATGAAGAGAATAATTATTCAGAGGATAGGAGAGATAATGTAGACAACTGTACATGACTGGATATTTTCGCAGACTTGGAGTAAAATTCCATAGAAGAGAACTGAAACTGGGTTTCTCTGCCTGTTCAGGATAGAAAGCTGAGCCTTGTTTAAGAGGTAACTGGTTGAGTCAGGTTACATGTTGCTATGTGGTCACGTGCTCTGGCACTCTGATGGTATAGTATTAAGTACAAAAAGCTAAATAAATATTACATAAGGGATTTATTTTTCATTTTTTAATCTACCTAAAATATGCAAGTGACTCTATATCTCTGAAGTTGTGGAGATAGGTAATACTTTCTAGAATTACAAAAAAGTTACTTAGATTTTAGTGAGGTAGATATGACATATTCCAACTGTCACTTTTGAAAGATGAGGAAACCAACACCCAGAAGTCTAAAATTAATTATGCACAAACACATATAAACAGAACGAGCCATAATTAATGTTTCCTGGCCTTAAAACCAGTGCTTTCCCCTGGTACAACACAATAAACCCTATAGAACAGTTTAACAATATAAGAAGTGACCAAAATTCTATGACTTCTTTGGAAATCTAAACCTGATAAGAGTAAGTAATAATAACTTCCTACAAAAAAATGAAATGTTGAAAATGAAGACTCTTTTCTCTCTTTATTTTTCACACATCACTGAGTTATGCAAATATGGTCCAAAAACTGCTCTAATAGTGAGAGAGTACTGTGTGTTTTTCCATTATGAGAGAGTAGAGTGAGTACACATTAGTCAAAGGAGAAGTAAGAATACCTCACCTCTTATACCATTAATGAACTGTCCTGATAACTTCATGATTTTAAGACCATAGATAGCATCCATTCTAATACACATACTTTTATTTTACAGAGGTTCAAGTCCTCCTAGAAATAATTCATCCAAAACAACTAAATAAAAGAGCACTGGGCAGTAACAGAAGCAAAGTTTAGATGAATGAGGCACATCAAACCTGTGGAAACAATGGAAAAGATCTTCCAAATAAATCTGATTGACCCTAAGTAATTTGGTCCACATTTTCTAAGTTCTGTGATACATTAAAGCTGACTTTATTTTAAGTCAATCACAAGCTAACTTTTTGTGTTTCTTTGCAAAACAAAAACAAAAAGTAAAATTATTGTGATTGCTGTCTTTCTGCTTACAATGAAAGCTGCTCAAACTAGCAGTTTTATGGTAAAACAAAGTTAGTGTAATATCTGTTTTTTTCCTGTACATGTTTTTTACATTTCTGTACTCATTGTATTTGATAGTTATTTCTGAATATTTATCCCATGGTCTTCTCATAACCCCTCCTTTCCATCTAGTGCCATACTCAGTCATGTGGGAGCCAAAGCAAAAAAAAAAAAACTATCTTTATTTAAAATTTTGATATTTGTTAATTATGGATTTTGGCTGTAATTTTGATTTTTTAAAAATTTAATTAAAATATTATTTATCATAATTGTGAAGTGTTTTTATGACTTCTTAAACTGTACATGTACCTTACTCATGTCGCCATATTCTTAGCTTGAAAAAATTCTTCCAGTGGTACAGATTTGTAAAAACTTTTCTTATTGTGGTTATTCTCCCCAAGGCAGAAATTTTATTACTTCAGCAAAATTTAAGGATTTCTAATATATAATAGGCAAAATGTTAGACATTTTTGGATGGCATATAAAATTAAGACACCACCTTAGTCTTAAGTATTTTAAAAATACAAGGGGCTGGGTGCGGGGGCTCACGCTTGTAATCCCAGCACTTTGGGAAGCCGAGGAGGGCGGATCACCAGGTCAGGAGATCGAGACCATCCTGGCTAACACGGTGAAACCCCATCTCTACTAAAAATACAAAAAATTAGCCGGGTGTGGTAGCGGGCGTCTGTAGTCCCAGCTACTAGGAGGCTGAGGCAGGAGAATGGTGTGAACCTGGGAGGCGGAGCTTGCAGTGAGCAGAGATCGCGCCACTGCACTCCAGCCTGGGCCACAGAGCAAGACTTCGTCTCAAAAAAAAAAAAAAAAAAAAAAAAAAAAAAAAAAAAAATATATATATATATATATATATATATATATATATATGTATGTATATATCTCATATATATATGTATGTATATATCTCATATATATATGTATGTATATATCTCATATATATATCATAAGGAAGAAGAAGCACATATACTAGGTATTGTATATGAAAGCAAATGTAAAACCTATGAAAGATATTAAAACCTGAGATTAAACTGAGTGAAAATGTTTCATTCTGATCAAAAGATTAAAAAAAAGGCATCATGTCAGTAAAGATTAAACAGTGAAAAGCAGAAGCAGTCTTCAGTGCCCAAATTAGAATGAATGACATTAGAAGACCAGAAGCAGACAGGTAAACGTGCTGTATTATACTCTGAACCCAACTCAGTGCCTCAAAATAGCTCAGAATGTGTCATTAAAATGTTTTCAATTTGGGGTTAATATTCTGTTAGAAGATGTGATTTCAGCAAGTAAGTGGAAATGGTAATTTGAAAATCTTTAAGAGAGATTTAAGTGTAATCTCTTACAGTGTAGATTAAGTCCAGTGTTTCTTTGTAGATTTTCTGTCTGGATGATCTGTGCAATGCTGAAAGTGGGATGTTGCAGGCTCCAGCTATTATTGTAATGGGGTCTCTCTCTGTCTTTAGCTCTAAAATTATTTGCTTTATATCTCTGGGTGTTCAATGTTGGGTGCATATACATTTGCAATTGCTATATTATCGTAATGAATTTACCCTTTGTCATTATATAATATTTTTTGTCTCTCCTTATAGTTTTTGTTTTTGAATCCATTTTGTCTGATATAAGAATAGCTATTCCTGCTTTTTTTTGGCTTCCATTTACATAAAATATTTCTTTCTTTGCCTTTATTTTCAGTCTACGAGTGTCTTTATAGATAAAGTGTGTCTCTTGTAGGCAACAAATTGATAGGCTTCCTTATTTTATCCATTCAGGCCTCTGTATCTTTTTTGTTTGTTTGTTTTTTGTTTTTTGAGTCAGAGTCTCACTCTGTCACCCAGACTGGAGTGCAGTGGCGCCATCTTGGCTCACTTTGCAAGCTCCGCCTCCCAGGTTCACGCCATTCTCCTGTCTCAGCCTCCCCGAGTAGCTGGGACTACAGGCTTCCACCACCACACCTGGCTAATTTTTTGTATTTTTAGTAGAGATGGGGTTTCACCATGTTGGCCAGGATTTGGAGAATTCAGTCCACTTAAGTTCAATGTTATTATTGAGAAATAAGGACTTACTTCTGCCATTTTGTTTTTTTGTTTGTTTGTTTTCTTGTTATTTTGTGTTCTTCTCTTCCTTCCTTCTTTCCTTCCTTCCTGTCTTCCTTTGTGTGAAGGTAATTTTCAGTGGCATGTTTTAATTTTTTTGCTTTTTCTCTTTTTGTATATCTGTTGCATGCTTTTTTGTTTTGATTTTACCATGAGGCTTGAAAATAGTATCTTATAATCCGTCATTTTAAACTGATGACAACAAAACACTGATTGCCTAGACAAACAAACAAACAAGCAAAGATAAAACAAATTTAAAAAACTCTACACTGTAACTTCATATCCTTGTTGTTTAACATTTTGTAGTTTCTATTTATATCTTAGTATACTATGTATGTCTTATAAAATTGTAGTTATTATTTGTGGTTGGTTCATCTTTTAGTCCTTCTACTCAAAATATTCATAGTCTACAAACAATTACTGCATTATAATATTCTGTGTTTTTCTGTGTACTTACTATTACCAGTGAGTTTTGCACCTTCAGATGATTTCTTTTTACTCATTAACAACCTTTTCTTTCAGGTTGAAGAACTCCCTTTAGCATTTCTTGTAGGATAGATCTTGTGTTGATGGCCTGGGCTACAAGGAAGGCTAAAGAGAGTTCTTCAGTCTGATCCCTCAGATTTTGCTTGTCTGGGAAAGTCTTTATTTCTCCTTCATGTTTCAAGGAAAATTTCACCAGATATAATATTCTAGGATGAAATATGTCATACTGCTGTCTCCTGGACTGCAAGGTTTCCACTGAAAAGTCTGTTAACAGATGTATTGGAGCTCCATTGTATGTTATTTGTTTCTTTTATCTTGATGCTTTTAGGATGCTTTCTTTATCTTTGACTTTGGGAGTTTGATAGTTAAATGTCTTGAAGTAGTCTTATTTGTATTAAATCTACTTGGTTTTCTATATCTTTCTCATACTTGCATATCGATATATTTTTATACATTTGGGAAGTTTTCTGTTATTATCCCTTTGAATAAATTGTCTGCCCCCCTCTCCCTTCTTCCTCTTTAAGACCAATAATGCTCAGCGTTGCCTTTTTGAGGCTACTTTCTAGATCTTGTCAGCATGATTTTTTTTTTCTCCCTATTCTATGTGTTTTCAAATACCCTGTCTTCAAGGATGGTAATTCTTTCTTACACTTGATCAATTCTGCTGCTAAGGGACTCTGATAAATTCTACTGAAAAATGTTACTTGCATTTTTCAGTTCCAGAATGTTTGCTTCATCTTTTAAAATTATTTCAATCTCATTGTTAAATTTATTTGACAGGATTCTGAATTCCTTCTCTCTGTTTTCTTGAATTTCATTTTGTTTTCTTAGAACTATTTTGAATTCTGTCTGAAAGGTCATATATCTCTGTCTCTCCAGTGATTTTTTTTAGTTTGTTTGATGAGGTTGTAATTTTCTGGATGCTCCTGATGTTTGTGAATGTTTGCTGATATGTGTGTCCTGAAGAGTTAAGTATTGTAGTCTCTGTAGTCTGCATTTTTTTGTACCAATCTTTCTTGGGAAGGCTTTCCAGGTATTCGAAGGGTCTTCATTGTTGTAATCTAAGATTTTGTTTCTGCAGCCATATATGCATTAGGGGGCACCCAAGCCCAGTAATTCTGTGGTTATTGCAGACTCACAATGGTACTGCTTCGGTGGTCTTGAATAAGATCTGGAAGAATTCTCTCGATTACCTGACAGAGACTCTTGTTCTCCTTCCTTACTTTCTCCTAAACAAACAGAGTCTATCTCTCGGTGCTGAGTTGCCTGGAGCTGGGGGAAGGGTGACACAAGCACCCCTCTTGCCACTACCACAGAGACTGCATTGGGTGAGACCTGAAGCCAGCGTGTTAGTGGGTCTTACCTAAGGCCTAAGATAATCACTTTTAGGCTACTGCCTATGTTAACTCAAGGCCCTAGTGCTTTATAATCAGCAGGTGGAAAAGCCAGCCAAGCTTGTGTCCTTCCCTTCTGGGTGGCAAGATCCCCTCTGTCCCAGACAGATCCAGATATTCTGGGTCCTGGAGTCAAAAACCTTAGGAATCTACCTGGTGATCTTTTCTTCTGCAGCTTAGCTGGCACCCAAGCAATAAGACAAAGTCCTTCCTACTCATTCCTACCCTTACCACAAACAGAGGAGTCTATACCCTTGGCAACCACCACCCCAGGTCTGTAATGAGTACTGCCTAGCTACTACCAATGTTCACTCAAGGCTAAATGACTTTTTAGGTAGCCTGTGGTGAATGCTGCCAGTCCTGGAACTCTCCCTTCAGGGCAGTAGGCTCCCCTCTGTCTCAAGTTAGTTCCAGAAGTGCCACGTAGGAGCCAAGGTCTGAAATCAGGGACCCCAGGAGCCCACTAGTGCTCTACCCACTGTGGCTGAGCTGGTACCTAACTTACAATGCAAAGTCCTCTTTACTTTTCATTCTCCTTTTCTCAAGCAGAAGGAGTCTCTCCCTATAGACACCACAGATGGGAATGTGCTGGGTCACACCTGAGGTCAGCCCATATCTGAGTCACCCAAGTTCCACAGTGAGTATTGCCTGGATATTACTACTGATTATTCAGGGCCCAAGGACATCTTTAGTCACAAAATGATTAATCCTGTCAGGACTTGGCCTTTCCCTTCAAGGAAGTAGGTTTCCTTCTAGCCCAGGATATACCTAAAATTGTTATCTAGGTGATAGTGCCTGGACTGGGGCCCTTAGGACTCTGCCTGGTGCCCTGTGCTTAAGCTGGATGAGCTGGTATCCAAATTCAAGTCAAAGTCCTCTTTACTCTTCTCTCTTCTCTCTGTAAGCAGAGCAAAAGATTCTTTCTAAAGCTGTGAGCTGTACCACCTGAGTTTGAGGGAGGGGTAATGCAAGCACTCCCTTGCCAACTCTGGCTACTATCTAACTAGGTCGTATATGCCCCAAGTCCACTAGGTCAGAGCCCAGCACAATGCCAGGACTTGCAATGGGATTGCAGTCCTTATGGCTTAGACTGCCTTTGAAACCCAGAGTATATTATTAACCCGTGGAGGCAAGGCATATTGGAACTCAAACTTCGACTGCTGTGATAGATGATTCCCTTCTGGCTAGGGTTGGTCTAAATGATTTATCCATGGACATTGGCACAACTCTGTCTGATGTTACTTTCCACTGTGACAGGGTAGTTCGGAGTTCCAATGAAAAGTCCATAATCACTGCACTCATTATTATTATACTTTAAGTTCTGGGATACATGTGCAAAACTTGCAGGTTTGTTACATAGGTATACACGTGCCATGGTGGTTTGCTACACCCATCAACCCATCATCTACATTAGGTATTTATCCTAATGCTATCCCTCACCTAGCCTTCCCCCTACCCCCAGAGAGGCCCCAATGTGTGGTGCTCCCCTCACTGTGTCCATGTGTTCTCATGTTCAACTCCCACTTATAAGTGAGAACATGCAGTGTTTGGTTTTCTGTTCCTGTGTTAGCTTACTGAGAATTATGGTTTCCAGCTTCATCCATGTCTCTGCAAAGGACATACACTAATCTTTTTTATGGCTGCATAGTATTCCACGGTGTATATGTGCCACATTTTCTTAATCCAGTCTATCATTGATGGACATTTGGGTTGGTTCAAAGTCTTTGCTATTGTGAACAGTGCTGCAATAAACATATGTGTGCATGTGTCTTGATAGTAGAATGATTCATAATCCTTTGGGTATATACCCAGTAATGGGATTGCTAGTTCTAGATCCTTGAGGAATTGCCACACTGTCTTCCACAATGGTTGAACTAATTAACACTCCCACCAACAGTATAAAAGTGTTCCTATGTCTCCACATCCTCTCCAGCATCTGTTGTTTCCTGACTTTCTAACGATCACCATTCTAACTGGTGTGAGATGGCATCTCATTGTGGTTTTGATTTGCATTTCTCTAATGGCCAATAGTTATGAGCTTTTTTTCATATGTTTGCTGGCTGCCTAAATTTCTTTTGAGAAGTGTCTGTTCATATCCTTTGCCCATGTTTTTGATGGGGTTGTTTGTTCTTTTTTCTTGTAAATTTCTTTAAGTTCTTTGTGGATTCTGTATATTACACCTTTGTCAGATGGAAGAGAGGACACAAACAAATGAAAAAACATTCCATGCTCATGGATAGGAAGAATCAATATCATGAAAATGGCCATACTGCCCAAAGTAATTTATTGATTCAATGCTATCCCCATCAAGCTACCACTGATTTTCTTCACAGAATTGGAAAAAAACTACTTTAAATGTCATATGGAACAAAAAGAGCCCCTATAGCCAAGACAAGCCTAAGCAAAAAGAACAAAGCTGGAGGGATCATGCTACCTTACTTCAAACAATACTACAAGGCTACAATAACCAAAATAGCATGATACTGGTACCAAAACAGATATATAGACCAATGGAACAGAACAAAGGCCTCAGAAATAACGCGACGCATCTACAATCATCTGATCTTTGACAAACCTGAGAAAAACAAGCAATGGGGAAAGGATTCCCTATTTAATAAATGTTGTTGGGAAAACTGGCTAGCCATATGCCGAAAACTGAAACTGGACCCCTTCCTTACACTTTATACAAAAATTAACTCAAGATGAATTAAAGACTTAAACATAATACCTAAAACCATAAAAACTCTAGACAAAAACCTAGGCAACACCATTGAGGACATAGGCATGGGCAAAGACTTTCTGACTAAACACCAAAAGCAATGGCAACAAAAACCAAAATTTACAAATGGGAACTAATTAAACCAAAGAGAATCACTGCACTCTTACTCCCTCAAGTGCACAGATTTTTTCTTCATTTCATGTGGTCACTTCTGGAGGTTGAGGGAGGGGTAGCATTAACAATTCAAGACCATCTTCCCTACCCTCTTATGTGCCTCTTTCTGTGATATGAAGTTAAAACCAGGTACTGTGTTCACTTCCCTGATTTTTGGTTCTTATAAAGGTGATTTTTGTGTGGATAGTTGTTCAAATTGGTGTTACTGCGAGGATGACAATCAGTGAAAACTTAATAATCAGAATGAGAGAGGGAGAAATAGGAAAGGAATATCTAGTTAATATATGGAACACTATAATGTTGCCACAATTTTATACAGGATAAGGCTGCTATTTAAGCAAGTTTGAAACAACCGTTGGGTTAGTCTATAATAAGCATTGAACCATAATCAAAGAAACTATCTTTGTATAACCACATCACTTCTAACACTTGATTAAATTTACACATTTTTCTGGCATTCCTTTTCAGATGGGCAGGAATATTTTGCTTTGAGGTTTTCTACTGTTCAAATGTGCAGAGGCAGAGGACCAGCTACAAGTGAAGAACAGTTAGGAAAATTGTAACCTGACTAGCGCTCTTTTATCTTTTCTTGGTTTGTTTGTTTTGCTTGGTTGTATTTTTAGTATTAAAAAGGGGGAGATATAACGAATACAGTAAGATCCTCTAATTCAAAAGAGAAAGGCCGCAGTTGCTTAGTCATCAATGAATCTGCCCTTTACTTCATTTTTAGTAAAGTAATCCCAATTTTTCCCAGGTTATCTGTCATAGACATCAGATGAGATAGATCTCAAAAACAGCTATAAAAAGTGAATTATAAATGAACAGTCACTTATTTCAATCTCATTTCCCTTGCTATTGATCTCTTTAGAAATAGGTGTGTATCAAAATATTGGCCAACTCTTTAATGTTTGGTTTTTAATATAAAAATATTATTATTAAATATATTAGAGTTGAGGTTTTCTATTACATGTAGGTAAACAATTATGACCTGGTAAATTAAAATTGTATATTTATAACTCAAGAAAAAATAAAACATTTCTGTAAAAATGATGTTTACTTAGTTTGTGGACTACTATTAATGAGCTATATAATGTGCAGAATTTGAGAACCTTTTATTTCCCATAAACTTTCATTCAATCACTTCTTTCATAGAAACCCAACCTAACTGACATCATTCAGTTTAGGAAACCTGAAGTTTATAATTTTAAAAATGTTGGACACCAGGGTTGTTAAGCTTAACATTGTAATTTGATTTACAGATTAAGCAGCTTGCTATTTAATAAGGACCAAAGGAATGTGACACAGGACAGAAAAATTGTGATGGGTGATGACAAGAGAAAACATTACTTTGGCATGAAGTATGTTTAACAGAGTGAGTCAAAGGGCAAAGTCAGTCTGAGAGCAGTGACCAATTGGGAAGAGAGTAAAAAAGACACAAAGAAAGAATGAAATCAGCCTTGTCTTTTCAAAGATCCTTTCTGTTTGACAAATTTCTTATATTCAGGTTTCTTCTTCAAATATTTTCTGCCTCTGCTGTATTTTTAGCCTTCTAATAGCCTTTTTATGCAAATCCCTTGTTCAAAGGGATTCATGAATTTTAAATTTATAAAATAATGCCACAAGCTGCTAGGTTAAGGATGGATATTAATTGTTTTCATATGAAAATATAAAGTTATTTTAAAGGTAAATATTATTATTTGGAGGTAGCATTTCTGGAGCTAGGAAACCTACAGTTATACTTTATTTTCATTCTATAATGATGCTGCACTTAATACTTAGGCTCAATCAACAACACAGTAATATATCTTACCATGGAAGTTTTTATTTGTAATACCAATAGTAAATGGATATTTCTATTTTTATTTCTAGTATTCATCCTTAACTAAGAAAGGTATTATGGATTTTGTTTCTTTTTCCCTTTACACTTTCATTTGAAAGTCTAATCTGCTTGTAAAAAGAATGAAAAAATAGCTTACAGTTAAATGCAAATAAAACCTTTGATCCAAAACAGCCCAAAGTCAAGTCTTATTTTCAAAACTCTAAAAGTCTTGATCCTGCTTACAAATATGACAGTGAAAAAGTATGTATCAAACACACATACAAATGTTTCTTACATCTGATAAAAAGCTTGATCTAAAAAAATCATTTAATAAAGCGATTGATATTTTTACTTTAAATCTCTAAAGTATAACAAAGTGAAATGTAACAATATCATATATATATAATACATATTCACAGAATATCAAATATTTCTATTTGGTGATATATTTTTGCTAAATAAAATGTGGTTTTTATGTTTACATTTATATTCTTTTGACACATTTGAATTCCATCAATTATATGCATTATCAGAAGACGAATTTAACCAAATCAAGACTAACAGAGAGATACTGGATTCTCTCTCATGAACACCTAAGAGACTTGACCTTATCCCCTCTGAAGAAGGAAGATGAAAATAGAGCCCTCTCTCAAGCAGATATCCTGGTAGGGCTGATTTATCAGCAAAAGGGTGGTTTAAATCTTTTTTTTTTTTTTTTTTAATCTTCTGGCCGGGCACAGTGGCTCATGCCTATAATCCCAGCACTTTGGGCCAAGGCGGGCAGATCACCTGAGGTCAGGAATTCAAGGCCAGCCTGGCTAACATGGTGAAACTCCGTCTCTACAAAAATACAAAAATTAGCCAGGCCTGGTGGCGTGTGCCTGTAATCCCAGCTATTCGGGAGGGTGAGGCGGAAGAATTGCTTGAACCCAGGAGGCGGAGGTTGCAGTGAGCCGAGATCTTGCCATCGCACTCCAGCCTGGGTGAGAGAGTGAGACTCTGCCTCAAAAAAAAAAAAAAAAAAAGTCTTCAATTATAGATCAGGGAAAAATAAAGCTCATTTCTGCTAAAGGTTCTAGAGAGAAAAACAAATGCTTCCTGTGAGAAACTGAAAAATCAAGTCTGTGCAATTAAACTCATGCAGATATTTTCAAATTTGAAAGTTAATGTGAATTTTAGTTAAATCTTGTGAAAACCTATGTAACAAATACAAAAGCAGAACTCTCCAAACTGTGGTGTCCACTCCCCAAAAACAATACAAGCAAGCTCCAAAAGAAAGATACTGGAAGACAATCTGATATATACATTTGTATCTCATATATATGATTTGAGCTTTATACATTTATAACATACAGGTTGACTTTGCATGTTAGATCAGTATGTGATTTGCACATAATCACAGGGAATGAACACAATTTCCAATATGGTAGGAGAATTGACTACTGAGTACTCATTTTCTCTTTCTCTTATATATTATTATACTAGTGGAATTGACTATAAATTATATGAATAGTGAAAATTTCATGCTAATTTTAATGTGACAAAACATAATCTTGGACATATTTTTTGTCATATAGAGATTATGAATGTTCTTGCTGCTAAAATGTTAATTCCACAGATTAAATATGAGTTACTTTTTTCTTTTATAAAAGTAGTACTTACAAACATGCTGACCTTCATATTATCCAGCAAATATTGGAGCTGGTGAAGTGATATCTAATGTGTCCTTTTAATAAAATTTATTTTTGAAAAATGAGAGGATAACTAATTTGGCAAAAATGTCCTATAAACAAAAACTTATTTTGAAAATTTTAACATTGCTACATGCTGTTTTTAAACACTAACACTGATAGTATTCATTTATAAAATTCTAAGATTTACAAAATAAGTAAAAATTATGAAAACATAATTGTTTTCCTTATTAAGGAAGCAGACTTGTTTTTGGCAATGAGAGTAGTAATAGACTAGTTTTCAAAAAATGAAACAAAAAAATACTAAAATCTATTGAATAAGAATATGGTTTTCAGACATTGGTCACCAGGGAACAGGAAATGGAAGACAGTGGTTCCTGAAAGAAGAGAATCTCCTGCAGTGAATTCCATGATTGCCTCTTTTCTCTGTAGAGACAATACTGATAGCTGGACAGGAATTCAGAGCCATACAGATCACATCAGTCCCTTTGAAGTAAATGAGTCAGAGACAATAGCTTTGAACTACCGAAATGGCTGGTATCTGAAAGGCAGAAAACCAGAAGGAAATTGAGGAGGTTGGAAGGCAGAAGTGGGTGTGGAGGTTTCCCATGAGACGTTGGCTTATGTGATGCTTAATTTTAGGTGACAACTTGACTGGATTCAGGGATAACTAGTTAGCTAATAAAGTATTATTTCTGGATGTGTCTGTACAAGTGTTTCTGAAGGAGATTGTCACGTGAGTTTGTGAACTGAGTGGGGAAGACGTGCCTTCAGTGTGGCGCATTTTCCGATTGGCTGGTGATAGAGTGACGGATGAATAAAGGTACACTGACACACAGATATTCTGCTCTGCCAGTGCAGCTGAGTGAGCCGCTTACAGGCTCCAAGCTGAGTTCTGTAAACAGTTGCCACTCAACCCTGATCAGCTAGTGAGGCTCGCATTTATTCAGTTAGACTAATTAATGAAAGTCATGAGTAAATACCACTAGAGGGTAAAGATTAAAAGGCCAAGACCTAAAGCAAACACCATTTGCGGGTAATAAACTTCTGCCGACCCCCAGTAGGAGGCAGTAAAGTACCTGCGCGGTAGGACAAAGGTCAGTCTTAAGCCCATGTAAGTAAACAGGTTAGTAAAATAGACTTCCCACATTCCTTTGTACTTGCACCCTAATCTTTCTGGCTCCTGTAAAGAGACCCTGGCTGCCTTCAGCCAAGCAATCTGAAGCTATGCAAACTCTCAGGCCTTCCAAGAGAGTTTTGTGTCTATTTCTGTATTTCCCACCAGCCTGATTGAACCCCAACAATCATTCACACCTTTTGTGTCCTCATAGCTTAGCTCCCACTTAAAACTGAGAATCTATGATGCTTGATTTTCCATTCCTGAGTTACTTCACTTAAAATAATGATCTCCAACTCCATCCAGGCAGCCGCTGTGAATGCAATTATTTCATTCCTTTTTATGACCGAATAGAATTCCATAATGTAGACATATAGATAGAAATATCTATATATATAATATCTATATCTATACAATATCTATATATTATACATAGATATTACATTATCCACTTATTGATTGATGGGCATTTGGGGTGGTTCCATATTTTTGCAATTGCAAATTGTACTTCTATAAACATGCATGTGCAAGTGTCTTTTTCATATGACTTCTTTTCCTCTCAGTAGATACCCAGTAGTGGAATTACTAGATCAAATGATAGTTCTACTTTTTGTTCTTTAAGGAATCTCCATACTGTTTTCCATAGCGGTTGTACTAGTTTTTACATTCCCACCAGAAGTGTAAAGGTGTTCCCTTTTCACCACATCTATACCAACATATATTATTTTTTAGATTTTTAAAAATTATGGTCATTTTTTGCAGGAATAAGGTAGCATCACACTGTGGCTTTAATTTTCATTTCCCTGATAATTAGTGATGTTGAGCATTTTTTTCATGTTTGTTGGCCATTTGTACATCTTCTTTTGAGAATTGCCTATTCGTGCCTTAACTGACTTTTTGATGGTACTATTTGTTTTTTTCTTGATGATTTGTTTGAGTTCCTTGTAGATTCTGGATATGATTCCTTTGTTGGATGCATAGTTTGGAAAGATTTTCTCCAATTCTGCGAATTATCTGTTTGCTGATTATTTATTTTTCTGTGCAGAAGGATTTTAGTTTAATTAAGTCACATAAATTTATCTTTGTTTCTGTTACATTTGCTTTTGGGTTCTTGGCCATTAAGTCTTTGCCAAAGCTAATGTCTAGAAAAGATTTTCTGATGTTAACTTCTATTATAGTTTCAGGTCTTAGATTTAAGTCTTTGATCCATCTTGAGTTGATTTTTTAGAAAGTGAGAGATGAGGATCTGCTTTCATTCTTCTACATGTTTGCCAATTATTCCAGCACCATTTATTGAGTAAGGTATCCTTTCTCCACTTTACATTTTTGTTTGCTTTGTGGAAGATCAATTGGCTCTAAGTATTTGAGTTTATTTCTGGGTTCTCTATTATGTTCCATTTGTCTAGGTGTATATTTTTATTCCAGTATCAGGCTGTTTTGGTGACTGTAGCCTTATGATATAATTTGAAGTGGAGTAATTCAATGCCAGCAGATTTGTTCTTTTTGCTTAGTCTTGCTTTGACTATGTGAGCTTTTTTTTTGGTTCCATATGAATTTTAGGATTGTTTTTTCTAGTTCTGTAAAGAACGATGATATTTTGATGGGAATTGCATTGCATTTGTAGATTTATTTTGGTAATATGGTTATTTTCACAGTATTGATTCTACCCAGTCATGAGCATGGAATGAGTTTCAATTTGTTTGTGTCATCTATGATTTCTTTCAGTAGTGTTTTGCAGTTTCCCTTACAGAACTTTTTCACCTCCTTGGTTAGGTATATTCCTAGGTAATTTTTTTTTTTTTTTGCAGCTATTGTAAAGACAGTTGAGTTCTTGATTTGATTCTCAGCTTGGTCACTGTTGGTATATAGCAGTGCTAATGATTTGTGTACATTGATTTTGTATCCTAAAACTTTTATTGAATTCATTTATCAGAACTAGGAAGTTTTCAATGAGTCTTTAGGGCTTTCTAGGTAGATGGCCATCAGTGAACCATGACAGTTTAAATACCTTTTAAGTGGTTTGGATGTTCTTAATGTATTTATCTTGTCTGATTGCTCTGGCTAGATCTTCCAATACTATGTTGAATAGAAGTGGTAAAATTGAGTATCCTTGTCTTGTTCTAGTTCTCAGGGGAAATGCTTTCATCTTTTCCTCAATCTGTGTAATGTTGGCTGTGGGTTTGTTGTAGATGGCTTTTATTACCTTATGGCATGTCCCTTCTTTGCGAATTTTGCTGAGGGTTTTAATAATAAAGGGATGCTGGATTTTGCCAGAGGCTTTTTCTGCCTCTATTGAGATGATCATGTGATTTTTGTTTTTTGTTCTCTTTGTGTACTGTATCACATTTATTGACCTCTGTATGTTAAACCATTTCTACATCTCTGTTGTGATACTCACTTGATCATGGTGGATTACCTTTTTATATGCCTTTAGATTTGGTTAGCTAGTATTTTGCTGAGGATTTTTGGATCTATTTTCATCAGGGATGTTGATCTGTAGTTTTCGTTTTCTGTTATGTCCTTTCCAGGTTTTGGTATTACAGTGATACTGGCTTCATAGGGTGATTTAGGCAGGATTGTCTCTTTCTTTATCTTTTGGAATAGTCTCAATACAATTTGCACCAATTCTTCTTTTAATGTCTGATATAATTCAACTGTAAAGCCATCTGGTCCTGGACATTTTTTTGATAGCAACATTTTTATTACCATTTCAGTCTTTCTGCTTATTATTGGTCTGTTCAGGGTTTATATTTCTTTTAGGTTTAATTGAGGAGAGTTGTATATTTTCAGAAATGTATCCGTCTCCTCTAGGTTTTCTAGTTTATGCATGTAAAGGTATTTATAGTAGCCTTGAATGCTCTTTTGTATTTCTGTGTTGTTTGTTGTAATAGCTCCTATTTCATTTCTAATTAAGCTTATTTGGATCTTCTCTCTTCTTTTCTTGATTAATCTTGCTTTTTTATCCATTTTATTTTTCTTTCCAAAGAACTAGCTTTTTGTTTTATTTATCTTTTGTATTTTTTGTTGTTGTTTTAATTTCATTTAGTTCTGCTCTGATAGTGGTTATTTTCTTCTGCTGGGTTTGGGTTTGGTTTGTTCTTGTTTGGTTCCTTGTGGCATGACCTTAGATTTTCTGTTTGTGCTCTTTCAGCCTTTTTATTTTATTTATTTATTTATTTATTCTTGGAGACGGAGCCTTGCTCTGTTGCCCAGGCTGGAGTGCAGTGGCGTCATCTTGGCTCACTGCAACCTCTGCCTCTAGGGTTCAAAAGATTCTTATGCTTCAGCCTCCCAAGTAACTGGGATTACAGGTGTGTGCCACCACACCCTGCTAATTTTTGTGTTTTTAGTAGAGATGAGGTTTCATTATGTTGGGCAGGCTGGTCTTGAACTCCTGACCTCAAGTGATCTGCCCACCTCAGTCTCCTAAAGTGCTGGGATTACAGGCGTGAGCCACCACACCTGCTGTTTTTCAGACTTTTAGATGTAGGCATTTAAGGCTATGAACCTTCCTCTTAGCACTGCCTTTGCTGTATTCCAAAAGTTTTGATAGGTTGTGTCACTGTTATCATTTAGATTAAATATTTTTTAAAAAATTTCTCTCTTCATTTCATTGTTTACCCAGTGATCATTCCAAGTATTTACATGATTTTGAGGGTTTCCTTTGGAGTTGATTTCCAATTTTATTACACTGTGGTCTGAGAGAGTACTTGATATAATTTCAATTTTTCTGAAACTTTTTGAGATTTGTTTTGTAGCCTATCATTTGGTCTCTCAAGGAGAATGTTCCATGTGTTGATGAATAGAATGTATATTCTGCAGTTTTGGGGTAGAAAGTTTTGTAAATATCTGTTAAATCCCTTTGTTCTAGGATGTAGTTTAAGTCCATTGTTTCCTTATTTACTTTCTATTTTGATAACCTGTCTAGTGCTGTCACTGGAGTATTAACATCCTCCACTCTTATTGTGTTTCTGTCTATCATTTCTTAGGTTTAGTACTAATTATTTTATAAATTTGGGAGCTCCAGTTTTAGGTGCATATATATTTAGCATTGTGATATTTTCCTGCTGAGCAGGACTTTTATCATTATATAGTGTTCTCTTTGTCTTTTTTAACTGCTGTTGCTTTAAAGTTTGCTTTGTTTGATATAGGAATAGCTAATCCTGCTCACTTTTGGTGTTCATTTGCATGGAATATCTTTTTCACCCCTTTACTTTAAATGTATTTGAGTCCTTATGTGGTAGGTGAGTCTCTTAAAGACAGCAGATACTTGGTTGGTGAACTCTTATCCATTCTGCAGTTCAGTATCTTTTAAGTGGAGCATTTACACCACTTACATTCAGTGTTATTATTGAAATGTGAGGTACTATTCTATTTATTGTGCCAGTTTATACCTAAGTATTCTGTTTTTTCCATTCATTGTGTTATTGTTTTATATTTAAACAATAACTGTGTGATTTATATTTTAAAGGGTTCTATTTTGGTGTATTTTTAAAATGTTTATCAAGATTTAGAACCCCTTTTAGCATTTCTTGCAGTACTGGCTTGGTAGTGGTTAATTCTCTCAGCATTTGTTTGTCTAAAAAGGACTTTATATTTTCTTAATTTACGAAGCTTAATTTTACTGGATACAAAATCCTTGGCAGATATTTGTTTTGTTTAAGAAGGCTAAAGATAGAACTCCAGTCCCTTCCAGTTTGCAGGGCTTCTGCTGAGAAATCTGCTGTTAATCTGATAGGTTTTTTTTTTTTTTTTTTGATAGGTTTCCTCATGCTTTTGCCTCACAGCTCTTAAGATTATTTCCTTCATCTTGACTTTAGATAACTCAAAGGCTATATGCCTAGGTGATAATATTTTTACAATAAGTTTTCTAGATATTCTTTGAGCTTCTTGTATTTGAATGTTTAGATTTCTATAAAGGCCAGAGAAGTTTTCCTCAATTATTCCCTCAAGTAAGTTTTTCAAAATTCTAGATTTCTTTTCTTCCTCGGGAACACGAATTATGCTTAGATTTGGTCATTTCACAGAATCCCAAACTTCTTGGAGGCTTTGTTCATCTTTTTATTCTTTTTTCTTTCTCTTTGTCAGATTGAGTTAATTCAAAAGCCTTGTCTTTGAGCTCTGAAGATATTTCTTCTATTGTTCAATTCTATTGTTGAACAATAGAATTTCCAGTGTATTTTGCATTTCTTGAAGTGTATCTTTTATTTCTAGAAGTTATTATTGTTTTTTATTTATGCTATTTATCTGGATATTTTTCTGTTCATACCTGTATTTTTTTCTTTTTTTAAGTTGATATTCACCTTTCTCTGATGGCTCCTTGATTAGCTGAATAATTGACCTTCTAAACTCTTTTTCTGGCAATTCAGAGATTTCTTTTTGGTTCAGATCCATTGCTGGTGAGCTAAGTGTGATCTTTTGGGGTTGTTAAAGAACCTTGCTTTGTCATATTACCAGAATTATTTTTTCTGATATCTTCTCATTTGGGTAGACTATATCAGAGGAGAAATCTGTGGCTCAAGGGCTGCTATTCAGATTCTTTTGTACCACAGAGTTATCCCTTGATCTGGTGCTCTCCTCCTTCCCTTAGAAATGGCACTTCTTGGGAGCTGGACTGTAGTGATTCTTATTGCACTTCTGAGTCTAGCCACCCAGTGGAGCTGCTGAGCTCTGGGCTGGTACTAGGGAATGTCTGTAAATAGCCCTGTGATGTGGTCCCTCTTCAGGTTTCTCAGCCATGGACATCAGCACCTGCTCCAGTGGAGGTGGCAGGGGAGTGAGGTAGACACTCTGTATGAGTCCTTAGTTGCAGTTTTGTTTAGTGCACTGGTTTTCTTGAATGCTGCTTGTGCTAGCAGTGAAGTTGTCATGTGGACAGATTCAGGACCTCTGGTTAGCCAGGATGTCACAGGCCATGGACTTAGTTGTTGTTTGGAGCAGGATTATTCTTTTATGAGTTGCTGTAATGGCTTGGGCTAATTGGCCTCTAGCCAGGAGGTGGTACATTCAAAGGAGCATCAGCTGTGGTAGTGTGGGGGTATACAAGCTTGTCCTGAGGTCACCTGCATAGGGATTCAGGTTTCTAGGCAATAGGTGGGGTCATAGAGCTCCTAAGAGATTGTGTCTTTTGTGTTTGGCTACCAGGGTGGGGAGAGAGAGAGACCATCAGGTGGGGGCAGGGTTAGGCATGTCTGAGCTCATGCTTTCCTTGGGCAGTGATGGCTGGGGCCACGGTGGAGGATTGGGCATGGTTCTTAGGCAAATGTAGCTATGTTCCCAGGGCAATTATGGCTGCCTCTGCTGCTTCATACAGGTTTCCAGGAAAGTGGGGGAAATCTGGCTGACAGGCCACACCCACTCCCATACAACAAGCAGGGCCAGCCTCACTTCCATCGTGTGCCACCAATAGCACTGAGTTAATATCCAGGCAGCCAGTGAGCAGGGCTAAGATCTTTCTCCAGGCTACAAGCCTCCCTGCTGAGATTGCAAGCAGGGTTTTCAGGTCCCACCTCTTACTGTGTGCCATGGCTTCTGTGCTCATATCTGCATTTCCTGTTCATCCCCCCACCACCCTTCACCAATCCTGCCCAGAAAAACTCACACTATGTCAAAATTATTATGAAGTTCCACTGGAAATCTTCTCTCTGTGGTCTTTCCCCAATTCCACTCGCAGCCCTCCCCAAAGAACCCTGTGAGATAAAGTCAGAAATGGCTTCCCTGCAGACCAGAAGTGACTACAGGGCTCTTCCTGTGGCTTATTCTACTTTTATATTTCATTTGGCTCTCAAAATTTGTCTCAGCCCTAGGGAAGGTTAAATTCTTCTCCCGTGATCTGGATTTTCAGCTTCCCCAGTGATGATGTGTAGTTGGAGGCATACTTTCCCACTCTCACACTTTGGGGCTGTCTCACGAAGTTTGCAGCAGTGAGCCACTTTTTCAGGGCACCTGTGAATTCTTTCAGTTTTCCTAGTTTATTACTGCAGTAGTTCTTAGAGCAAAAGTTCACAATCTGAGTCTCCACATGCTGTTCTGTGTTTCTGAGTGACAGCTGCAAGTTAGTCCTGCCTGCTAGCCACCATTTTTATTGCATTTTGAAGATCACTATACATATAATCCTAATGCCTAGATTCCTTTTGTAATCCAAAATGAATTAGCCTTGATATTTGTATAAATATTAGCAATATGCTTACTATACTCCCTAGATAAGAAATGTATCTGGCAAATTCTGAGCTAACCAATGCTTTTAATCCCTATGGCACATATTATTAAAATTAACTTGTCATGTTTCCAAGCAAGGGAAATTGTAAATATATTTAACTGCTTACATTTGTCATGTGTAGAAAGATGTAACCTGAGAATAATAAAAAAAAAAAGAAAGAAAAAAAGTCTCAGGATGCTTTGGGTGTTACTTTTCCAGCTGGAAACCTCTGTGGCTGGTGGCACTTTTGCCCAGGTTTTTGCTCGAGCCCACTCAGCTCATTCTGCCCATTCGACATGGCAGGCTGTGCTTGGCTCACCCTACCAGCCCATATCCATGCCTTCCAAGGGTGAGCTAGGCATGGAGTGGAGCTAGCGTGGGAACTGGCAAGTGCACATAGCCAGGCACACCAGATGCTGTGGTGTGTGCACCTCCAGGCACTGGCATAGCTGCTGGCTCCACGCAAGGCTGTGGCTGGATCAAATGTACTGCAAGCAGCTTCTGCTGCAGACACCTACATCTGGACTAGGGGAAAGCAGGGACACCCAAAATCTTGGAGATGCTAGGATCGCAGAGCTCCAAAGAGGGTGTCACAGCCCTGGCTTGTGGGTCCCCTAGTCTTGGCTCCCTGAAGGGCTGTAGCCCTTCTCTTCTTCTCATCATCTGCAACTTGGCAGCCCTGTTTGTTTTGCAACTCTTTCAGTCCCACCATTCGGCAGGTCCTGAGTTCTTGTTCCACTTCTAGGAAGAATGAGGTGCACAGACAACTGGAGGGTAAGCAAGGCATAGAGGAGCTTTACTGAGTGATAGAACAGCTCTTGGAAGACACAAAGTGGACAGGTCCTTTCTGCAGGCAGGGCATCCCAATGAGTATCCAGCTCTCAGTGGAGAAGAGATCTGGAGTGGATTGCTCTTATCTGCAGGCAGGTCATCCCAGTGAGTGTCTAGCTGTGAGTGGAAAGGAGACCTGGAGTGGGCAGCTCCTTTCTAAAGGCATGTCATCCCAACAAGTTGAGAAGACCTGAAGTGGGTAGCTCTTTCCTGCAGCTGATGTCCCAAGATCTACATAAGTCTGGCTGGGTCCAGAGTGTTTATGGGCTCAGAAGAGAGGAAGTCCATGGTGATTTGTCCATGGGCATCCATGGGCATTCCCGGAAAAAGCACCTTAAGATCTCACTCTGCGCCAGAAACTCCACCCAGAACTGACAGCCCAGCCCCCAGGCTTTATGCCATCTTTGGCTTGAAAGTGAAGCTTCACCAGGGACCCACTCCTTTCCACCCAGGAGCTTGTCTGCCTCCTGCCACCATCGACATGTCATCCATGATACCCAGGTTGTTTGTGCTGAGGGGCACCTGCAGGCCTGTGCCAAGCTGCCCTCAGCACCCCCTAAGGCTCCCTTCCATGCTTATTGGTGCCCAGATTCCAGGGGTAGCTGAGGTGGCAGGGGCCTGGGATGTCAGTGCCTCCCTGAGCATGTGAACTCCTGGCCAGGTCACAACAGCACCCAGGCTTGGTCACAACTTTGCTCCACCCTGGAGTGGGTGCTGGGAGTGGGGAGAGGCCAGGCAGTGGGAGCAGGCACTTTCAAGCTTGAGGCAATAAGGGGCTTCCTGAGCCCCCGAGAGAACAGGGATGCCTAGGTCTGGAGCCACAGCTGGGAGGCTGCAGCTATGTCTGGGAGTGCAGGGCTCCTGCCCCACCAACTTGATATGGGGAGGGACTGCAACCTTATCCTGGCCCCTGCCAGCTTCACAGAGCACAGGGACTCAACTGCATCTCCTCTGCTGCAGTCAGTGTCTTTGCAGTGGCTGCTCCAAATAGGCCACCACTGCCATCACCATTCACCATTTTTTCCTGCATTTTTAAGATTACTATAAATATGGTCCTAATGCCTAAATTCTTTAAGTAATCCAAAATGAATTTGCCTGTATATTTGTATACATATGGGCAATAAGTGAACCCATGCAGTTCAAATCCATATTGTTCAAGTATAGTAACATACTATACTTTTTATATAAGAAATGTGTCTGGCAAATGCTGGGTTAACCAATGAATCTAATCCCTGTTGTACTTATTATTAAAATTAACTTGTCATGTTTGTAAACAAGGGGAATAATTAATATATTTAGCTGTTCACATTTTTCACCTGTAGAAAGGTGTAATTTGAGAATAATAAAAAAAAAAGAGAAAAAATTAGAGCAAATAACACCCAAGGGAAAAATGAAGAGAACTGTATCCTAAAATGCCAGCTAGGAGAAGAAAGGAGCATCAATTCAGGCAATAGAATTGCCTAAGGTTTATATAAATAAAATTGTCAGAATATCATTTTCACCTACCTTTTATAAAACTTTATACAGTGGAAAATATATTACTATTATTTTTTAGACTAATAAGTTCTTTACTAGGTAAATCATTTGATCCTTGAACAATGCAGGGGTTAAGGGTGCTGACCCCCTGAACTGCTGAAAATCCACAGATAACATTTTACTCCTAAAAACATTAACTACTAATAGCCTACCTCTTACCGGAGACTTCACTGATACATAACAATTGATTAACACAAATTTTGTATACTATATGTAGTGTTTACTATATTCTCATGAAAAAGTAAGCTAGAGAAAAAAATGTTATTAGGAAAATCATAAGAAAAAGAAAATATATTTACCATTTATTAAGTGGAAGTAGATCATTATAAAGTTCTTCATTCTTGTTTTCATGTTGAATAGGCTGAGAAGGAGGAGGAGAAAAAAGGTTTTTTATTGTTATCTCAGAGGTGGTAAGGCAAAAGAAGTAGAAGAGGTGAAATGAGAAGCAGGAGAGGCGGGCACACTTGGTATGGAAATACATCATAATTTAAGTCTGATAGTTTTGCTTCTTTATGTCTCTAAAAATGTTTCTATGTGGTATTAGTTGTTCTTCCACTGTTTGCTTTTGTTTCACTGCCTGTTTTAGTCTGTTTTTGCACTGCTGTAAAGAAATACCTGAGACTGAGTAATTTATAAAGGAAAGAAGTTTAATTGACTCACAGTTCTGCATGGTTGGGAAGGATTCAGGAAACTCACAATCAAGGTGGAAGGGGAAGCAGACAGCTTCCTCACAAGATGGCAGGAGAGCAAGTAAGGAGCAAAGAAAGGACTGCCAAACACTTAGGAAACCATCAGATCTCATGATAACTTACTCAATATCACAAGAACAGCATGGGGGAAACTGCCCCCATCATTCAGCCATCTCCCTCCCTTAACACGTGGGTATTGCAATTAGAGATGAGATTTGGGTGAAGACACAGACCCAAACCATATCAATGTTCTTTTCACAAAAGTGCCCAGATCATAAAAAGAAGTAAAAAGCAGTCTTGAATAATCAGAACCCTTCTTCCAGATAATTTAATATACATTTGTTTCCTAGAACTGCTTCTTCTGTCTGCTTCCTCGTTGCCTGAAACTGGTTTGAAAGCTTTTGTTTCAGTGCCTGCTTTAGTCTGTTTTTGCACTGCTATAAAGAAATACCTGAGACTGGGTAATTTATAAAGGAAAGAAGCTTAATTGACTCACAGTTCTGCATGGTTGGGAAGGACTCAGGAAAATCACAATCATGGTGGAAGGGGAAGAAGACAGCTTCTACTAATTCCTCTGGTACAGAGTCTATTAGCTCTTTAATTTCTCCAAGATTCTTATCTTGAGACCCTTCTCCCCACACCTTTTCAGCCATATCCATTAATCTCGTTCCTGACTTCCTTGATTGGCTTAGGTCATAAATTCTGTGAAGTCATGGACAATATATGGACACAGTTTTCTCCAGCAGGAATTTGTTGTTTCAAGTTTAATGGACTTCATGGTTTTTTCTATAACAGCTATGGTATCTTCAATGGTGTTAATTTTTCCAGACTTTCATGATATTCTTTCAAGGTTTGCTTCCGTAGTTTGGTACTTATTTCTATATAATACTGTGTATAATGAGCCTTAAAAGTCCTTACGATGTTCTCATTCAGAGACTGCATTAGAGACATTGTGTCTGGGGACAAGCAGGCAACTTTGACACCTTGAGTGTTAAACTCAAGGGGTGCTATGTGACCAGGTGCATTGTTCAATATCAGAAGAACTTTAAAAGGCAAGTCCTTTCCTGGCAAGGTGCTTCCTGACTTCAGGGACAAAGCATGGCAGGAACCGATTCAGTAAAAATGTTCCCATTTTCCAGGCTTTTGTTGTACAACCCAAAGTCTAGCAGTTGTTGTTTATCTTTTCCCAAGTTTCAGGGGTTAGTAGCTGTAATTATATGGGCAGTTCTAATTATATACCAAACTGTATAATTTGCACAAAATATTGCTGAATGCCAGGCCTTTCGCCTAGGTCCAGTTGCATGTTGCACTGAATTTCAATCACTGACATAGCACATATTGCCAGGAAAAAAGGCTGTAATGTGAGTGACACCAGCCAAGTTTCTGACCTGTCTCCCAAACCCACTGAAGTTCATATAGGAGTTGGTCTAAAGGCAGAAGGTGGTCAGATGGGGGGTCTGCTGTCTTATTGTAACCACATGCCGGAAAACAGGAATTAGGGAGAGGCAAGGAAGGTCAACAGGGAGTGTTGACCTTGAACAACCAAGAGGTTGGTCAACAGGGAGTGGGTAATCAGATGAGGAGTCTGGCATCTCACTGTCTGGATGTGGTGTTCTGGAAAGTTTCAGCACACTTATACTATCTGGGGGGCTGGATGGCCAGTTTCCTGAAAAAGAAACTGAGATAAGACAAATGTATGTTTCTTAAGCTTCAAGACCCAGAGGGTCTATTTCTATGTTTATTCAAAATAGCCATAAATATCAAGTCTATGGGAAAATTTGGCCTGTTTCAAAAATAGTAGAATTAGCCTATTCCTTTCTGCCTTAAATCTTGGTGCTTACTTCTCTTCCTTCCTAACTAATTAATGTCCTTTGTGAATTTTTTTTAATAGAGGGCACTTTTATCTTTGTTAAAATTTTGCTAATGTGGATATCTGTTTTCTCAATGATTTTCTTAATGTCATCTTGGAACTTGTCTGTTGCCTCTTGATCACCAGAAGCTGCTTTTCCTGTTATTTTGATATTTATTTTAAAGTCTAACATCTTTCTAAAATTATCAAACCGTCCTTTGCTTGCATTAAATTATCCAGCTTTAGATCCTTCATGCTGTCTTTTTTTTTTACTTCAAATTTTCATATAATGACTTCCTTTTTCTTGTATTATCTATTAAATTAGAATCTATAGGTATACATTTTTTATTTTCAATAAGAGGTAAAAGGGGATTTCACAAATGTGCAAGATTTTGCATCTACTAGTGTACCTACTGCAATGGCTTCACACATTTCTTTTTTCTTTTCTTACAATGGTCCCTAGGCTGGATTAATTTATCTTGAAATGGCAAGCAACTAAAGCTGCAGCCATCAATTTATGGTAGATTTCAAGCAAATCAACTTTTTCTTACATTGTCATAATTTTGCTTCTTAGGAGCACTTTCAGTATCACTAGTGGTACTTTGTATGGGTCCATGGTGTTATTCAAGGTTAACAGTATTGCACTGACTTGAAGAAAAATATATGAAAACCTCAAAAGATCACTTTTTACTATTATATGCAATTTATTGAAGAGATGAGCTACTCACTCAGAGATTATTAGAGTCACAAGGTGAACTCACAAAATTTCAGTTTGCCCCAATAGCAACAGAAAATGGCAACAAGATTATTACAGTATGTACTATGGTTAATTTTATGTATTATGATTTAATATTGCATCTTTATGTTTGTTTATATTTCTCTCCACTGAAAAATGCACAATGTGCTATTTCTAAGTGTTTTGTGTGACTGTTTTGATAAGTTTTAAAATTTTTATATTAGATTTATGTGTATCTTATGGTAGTAAATTATAAAATAGATTAGTGTCAGCCAGGCGCAGTCGCTCACTCCTGTAATCCCAGCACTTTGGGAGGTCGAGGTGGGCAGATCACGAGGTCAAGAGATTGAGACCATCCTGACTAACATGATGAAACCCCATCTCTACTAGAAATACAAAAATTAGCTGGGCGTGGTGGCGCATGCCTCTAATCCCAGCTACTCGGGAGGCTGAGGCAGGAGAATCACTTGAACCTGGGAGATGGAGGTTGCAGTGAGCTGAGATTGCTCTACTGCACTCCAGCCTGGCAACAGAGTGTGAGACATTATCTCAAAAACAAAACAAAACAAAAACAAAAACAAAATAGACTAGGGTCTACCTGCATTTTATGCGTTTATGACACAAATAATGTTTTAAATTTTTTAAATGTTTGTAGGGTACATGGTTTGCCTGGGTTTTTTCAAATTGTCACAAATTTCCCCAAAATTTTCCAATATATTTATTGAAACATCTGTATATAAGTGAACCCATGCAGTTCAAATCCATGCTGTTCAAGGATCAATTGTATTTTCAAACATATTTATATGATTAAGATCGTATCACTTGAACTGTCACTTTAGTCTCCAATAGTCCTGAGTTATTACATATTCAAATTTCATTGTACAGATATTTTCTCCCTCCTTCCTCCCTCCCCCATTCTGTTCTTTCCTTCATTCCTTCCTCTGCCACCTCCTCTCTCCCTTCCTTCCTTTCTTCTTTTCTTTTGAGACAGGGTCTTACCTCACCCAGGCTGGAGTGCAGTGGTGCAATCATGGGTCACCACAGCCTCTATCTGCTGAGCTCAAGCAATCTCTCCACCTCCACCTCCCAAGTAGCTTGGACTACAGGTGTGCACCAACTGCACCTGGATGATTTCTTAAATTTATTTTTTGTAGTTACAAGGCCTCACAATGTTGCCTAGGCTTGTCTGGGACTCCTGGAATCAAGCAGTCCTCCCACCTCTGCCTCCCAAAGTGCTAGGATCACAGACATGAGCCACCTCAGCCAGACAGACATTTTCTTAAGAATGGAAATGACTTTACCCCACTAATCTATCATGAAAACTAATACTCAGCAGAATGAACTTTAGGCCATACTATGGTAACAAGCCATTTAGGGATAATCCTGATATTATGTTATGCTCTTATCATAGCAGTGGTTTTTAAGGCAGTTTATTGTTATTCTTCTACTGTTTATAATATATTATACATAGTTTGCAATAACTTGATTTATATTTTGATATATATTCCACACAGCGAATCTGTGTGGTATGGAATGAAATGAATTGTATTTATATGCAAAAAAGCCAAGTTTTTTGTTGTTGTTGTTGTTACTCCTGTCATGCAAATGCTTTGAACAAGTTGTTTAATGGTTGTTAGTTTTAGTTTTATCATATGCATTCCTTTATTAATTATTCTGAGCTCACAGAGTTGAGAATTAAATAAAGTTACTAATTCAAGCATTAATGTATTCATTTACTCATTATTGAATGAATGTTTCTTGGGTTGTTGTTATGTGAGAGGCACTGCTAGGTAATAAGCATAAATAATGAAATAAAGTGAATTATTGATTTCTACTTTCCTGGAGTACACAGTCTAGTGGGTGAGACAGACCTAATTAAAATAATTACACCAATAAAAATTTAACTTAAGTTAGAATAAAGGAGAAAGGTATGCAGTATTATTTAACCGTATACAATAGATAACCTCAGTCTAATGATAAGGCAAGAATATTCTTAAACAGTAACATTTCCATAGCACTTGACACCACCTAACTCTAAGCTATTTAGGGAGTTATTAGTTCTGTGTCTCCCTATATAAGAGAATATAAACTCTATGAGAGCTTCAGTATTTTGTTCACTCTATCCCCCAGTGTCTAAAATACTGCATGAGTGAATGGATAGTTGAAACTAGCAGGGTTTATTATGTTAGTAAATTTGATAATTAATGACTTCTATTGTCATATTGTGGTGCTTAGCAGAAACTCAAATAACTTTTTTTAAGATTATCATACTTTTTAAGTAACTTCATTTAGAGAAAAAAGGTTATTAATTTATTCATTAACATCCCCTTGACATTTATAAAATGCCTACCCTATTTTGAACACAGTTACTTACTAGAATTACAAAAATGAATGTCACAATCTTTACACTGATAAAGTTCGCAGGCTTTCATAAAGATCTAGTCCTGTAAAAGAATAAGTAACATAATATGTGTAACGTGCTGTATTAATAAAACCCCCGGTTGATCAGGTATCTCAGTAAAACTGAAAGTTTAACTTAATTTCAAAATCTCTAATTATTTCATCAATCGCAAACACAAAATATTGTCATCTCTATTCTTTAAAAATGGAAATTAAGGAACCAGTGATGTAAACAGATGATCTGTGCCACGCTTGGCAAAACTGGTAATTTTGACCAGAACTGCCTATTTCTTAATTTCTTTTAAGACTTTTTTTTACCCATATGTTGTTATGTTGTTTAGAAATGTTTTGATTAATCCAGAGGTGTTTGGAGATTTTCCAGCTGTATTTCTTGTTTTTTTTTCTTTTCTTTTTTTTTTTTTTTTTGAGGTGGTGTCTCACTGTCTTGCCCAGGCTGGAGTGCAGTGGCACAATCTTGGCTCACTGCAAGATCCGCCTCCTGGGTTCAGGCCATTCTCCAGCCTCAGCCTCCTGAGTAGCTGGGACTACAGGCGCCCACCACCACACCCAGCTAATTTTTTGTATTTTTAGTAGAGACGGAGTTTCACCATGTTAGCCAGGATGGTCTCGATCTCCTGACCTCGTGATCCACCCGCTTCTGCCTCTCAAAGTGGTGAGGTTACAGGCGTGAGCCATGGCGCCCGGCCTCCAGCTAAATTTCTTTTATTCAGTTCTAGTTTAATTCCATGGTGGCTAGACAACATTTTTGTATAATTTCTGTGTTTTTAAGTTTGAATGGGTTTCTCTTGGTCAGTGTTCCAAGACAGCTTCTGAAGAATGTGTATTGTTGTTAGATAAAGTGCTCTATAAATGTCCGTTACTCCTAGTTGATGGTTCTGTTTATTTCAAATACAATCTTACTGATATTTGGTTTGCTGAATCTATCAATTACTGACATAAAGATTTTGAAGTCTCTGACTACAAAACTGCATTTAACTATACCTTCTTTTAGCTTATATTAGCTTGCTAGGGGTAACATAAAAAAATACCACAGACCGGGTGGCTTAAAAAACAAAAATTTATTTTCTCACAATTCTGAAGGCTAGAAGGCTAGGATCAGGTGTTGGCAGGGTTAGTATCTTCTGAAGCCTTTTTCCTTGGCTTTTTCAGGTAGCCATCATGTCCTTGTGAGTTCATATGTTGTTTCCTCTTGTGTGTATCTGTGTTCTAATATCCTCTTCATAGAACCCAAGATATATTGGGGTTAAGGTCCAACATAATGACCAGATCTTAACTTAAAATGGCCTATTTAAAGATTCTTTCTTCGAATATAGTTACATTCTGAGGACTTGTAGACGTTAGCACTTCAACATACGAATGTCAAGGGGACATAATTTAGCCTATAGGGCGTTCTATAAATTTTTGCCTCACATCTTTTGATGGTCTGTTGTTTTTAGATGCATGCATATTAAGGTTTAGTGTGTCTTGGATAAGAGACCCCACTAAAATTATGTAAAGTCCTCTTTTATCCCCAATAATTTCGCTTTGCCTTAAACCTGCCTGGTTTGTTCAAACTTAATATAGCTACTTCAATTTTCTTATGATTACGGTTACCATGGTATATATTTATCCATCTCTTAGCTTTTATGCTATCTGTGTCTTTATATTAAAAGTCTTTGTCTTCTAAACAACATATAATTAGGTCTTCTTTTTTTCTCACTCTCAATCTCTGTTTTGCAATGGGTAAATTTAGACCCTTTACATTTAAGGCGAGTATTGGTTTGTTGAGTTACTATCTACTAAGTTAGTAACTATTCTCTACCCATTGTTCTTTTTTAAATCTTCACTTTGGATGCATTTCTCTCTGTATCTATGAGTGTTTTATTTTATTTTTATTTTTTGGAGACAGTGTCACTCCGTTACCCAAGCTGGAGTGCAGTGGTGCGATCTCAGATCACTGCAACCTCTGTCTCCCGGGTTCCTTGTTTCTTGTGCCTCAGCCTCCCAAACAGCTGGAATTACAGGCACAAACCTCCATTCCTGGCTAATTTCCTTTGTATTTTTAGTGAAGATGGGGTTTCACCATGTTGGCCAGGCTGGTCTAGAATTCCTGACCTCAAGTGATTTTCCTGCCTTGGCCCCCCAAAATGCTGTAACTACAGGCATGAGCCAACACACCCGGCCTATTTGAGTATTTTATATGATTCCCTTTTCTTTCCTCTTTTAGCGCATCAATTATGCTTCTTTAAAAAATTTTTAGTGATTGCTCTAGAGTTTGCAATATACATTTACAACTAAACACATTTCAATAATAGTGCATTACTTAACAGGTAGTACATTCACAATTTCTTCCTCCCATTCTGTATACAATTGATACCATTCATTTCACTTATTTATAAGTTGTATTCACCTAATACATTATTATTGTTTTGAAAAATTATCTATTAAAATAATTATAAACAAGAAATATAAAAGATTTTATCTTACTTATATTCCTTCTCTAATGCTCTGCTTAGTTTATGTGGGCCCAAGTTTCTGACGTATATTATTTTCCTTCACTGTGAAGAAATTGTTTTAAAATCTCTTGGAAGGTAAGTCTACTGGCAGCAAATGTTTCCATTTTTTTTGGTTGTTGTCTGAGAAATGTTTTTCTTCTCCTTCCCTTGTGAAGAATAATTTCACTGAATACAAAATTCTAAGTTGGTGCTTATTGTTTCTTTAAGCACTTTAAATATTTCATTCTACTTTCTTTTTGCCTGCATGGTTTCTGAAGATAATTCCGATGTAAATATTAACCTTGTTCCTCTATAAGGGTTTTTCTCACCACTTGCTTCTTTTAAGATTTTTCTGTCTTTGATTTTCTGCAGTTTGAATATGATCTGCCTAGATTTTTCTTTTTTGATACTTATTCCCGCTTTGTATATTCTGAGTTTCCTGAATTCATGGTTTAGTGTTTGTCAATAATTTTAGAAAATTCTCAGTCATAATTACTGCAAATATTTCTACTGCTTTCTTTCTTCTCCTTCTGGAATTTTCATTATGTTTATCTCTCCATTAAGTTGTATATTTCATAATTGTCCAAAACTTCTGGGCTATCCTGCATTCTATTCTTCATTGTTATTTTTCTCTTTTCAGTGTAGAAAATTTTACTGACATATTAAGATCACTAATACCTTCTCAAATGTATTTAATCTATTGATGAGACAATCAAAGTCAATCTTTATATTGTACAGTGTTTTTAACTTCTAGCATTCTTTTAAATTTATTCTTAGCAATTCTCTCTCTCTGCTTACATTGTACATCTGTTCTTAAATGTCCACTGTTTACATTAGAGTACACTGCATATTATCTTAATTTCTTGTTTGACAATTCCAAAACCTCTGCCATATCTGAGTCGGGTTATAATGCTTGCTTTGCTCTTTAGACTGTTTTTCTTAGCTTTTAGCATGACCTGTCACTTTTTGTTGAAAGATGGACATAATGCATCAGTTACAGGTGGTAAAATATTGGGGAGGGAAAGCATTCTTATTATTAAACCTTAAGGGTTTTTTTAGTGGGCAAGAATGGCTGGGTTGTGACCTTGAGGAGCTTCTTCTAGTACTTTTTCATTCCTATTTGTGTTACATGAATTATAAACTTGAGCAAATTGTATAATTGCCATTCCCTTGCACTATGGAAGGTTCAGGTAAAGGAGTTTCTGCTGAGGGCAAGGACTTTGCTACTGAGAGCAGAATTCTCTGGGCATATTTCAAAATGGTTACTTTTATCCTTACCCTGTCAAAAGTAGAAGCAAACATTTTTTTCTAATAATCACTCTGAAAACCTGATGGTCTCTTGAATATAAAACTAATCAAAATGTGGGAGCATCTCTATGACTAGCTCCTCAAGAGTTTTAAACTTTCAAACTAATTTATGCTAAGTCTCTAGTAATTAATCAATTACTGTTTGAAGCCTTTTTGCCAGTTAGGAGTAGACCCAAGTGACTTTTACTTTTCTATGCTGTGATTTTCTATATTCTCCTATTTTGAGTTTTTGGGGCATTAGTTTAATTTTCCCTGTACACTCAATTCTCTGATGATATATAAATAGTTTTTGAGTTCTAGTTTGTTCAACTTTTTTCTTATCATGTTTGAGAATGACAACGTCCAAGCTCAATACATGTTTGAGCAGGAAGCAGCCTACTTCTGGTACTCACATTTTCACTGGCTGTATTCAAATATTACAATGATAGCAGTATTAGAGTGTGTCAACAAAAGCGAGAGTTTTATTGTAATAATCCAAATGAGCAGTGGTGAGTAGATAAATTAGGCAGAATATAAAATGCATCATAATCAAGTTTTCCTTATTGTCAGAAAATCACCAAAATAAGTGATAAGTGAATGGCTAAACAATTGTAATATCTCAAGTTTAAAATTAAAGAAGATTGTAAATCATTCTCTCTGCTATTTCATATTGATTGAGAATTTGGTTTATGGCTCTCTCTCAATGTGTGTGTCATTATTATTCAAGATGCCAATTATGATAGAGTTTTTTAAACAAGATAAGCCCAATTAAATATGATTTAAAAAAATTCTAAACTATTAAATTCAGGTACTATTGTATGGCAAATGCCCCTGATAGCAATAACTTAAGTATACCCTGAGAAAGACCCTGTATGGCATATGTATCTGAATGTGTGTTCTGAGTTAAGGAATCCAGGAGTGGCCAACCTGAAGATTTATTCCTTGTCTATGATAAACATCTAAGCCCTTGTCCTATGCCATAGAACAAAAGCTGTACAGGGGATCCAGGCCTTGACTTTCGGGTTGAATAAAGGCTGCCAGGTGGAAGTTGTTAGGGAAATGGTGTTAAGTGAAAATGCTATGTAGACTGTATGTCCTTTGCAGAAGTTGTGGTTCTCCTGCCCAGCCTGCTGCCACTGAGCCATGCAGATATGCTGTCCAGCCCATCACCAGTGATTTGTATGTATATTGGTTCTTCTGTTCAGCTCACTGCTGAACTGGACTCTCTCCTCTGCAGGTAAGCCCCCAATAAAACCCCATGTATCATTTATTAGCTTGGAGTCTTCTCTTCAGCCTCTTGAACCTGGTGCCATCCCCATTGGAGTCAATAGCGGGTCAGCACAAAAACCATCTAGATGAACAACAAAATGCACTAGTAGATGATTCTGAAATGGACTTGATTTTTGGATTTAAATGGCTATGACAAAAAATATTGAAGAATGTGTATAGAATTTTATGAGAGAACATTTTTCAAATGTCATCATCATTATCCCAATGATTATATATATGTATATTTTAAGTAATTCTCTACTATGATCACAATTACTATCATCATTTTTCATACAAAGTTTATGTGAGTTATTTTCATCAAAGTATTTTATTTCATTCTTATAAGGTCCAGTGAATTTTCTCATTTACATTTATTAAAGATGCCCTAATTTTCCAACTACTTCCATATGAAAAGTACTATGGTTTTTCTACTTGTCTGTGCCATAATATTTAGTTTTTAGCATTCTTTTATAAAACTATTCTCTGTATTCTCAGAATTTGATAGTAGTGGAAATTCAAACTTTCAAAATTCAATTGAGGAAATTGACCAGCTAACAGTGAGTGTTATGATCTTGAGATTTTGTTTACCTAGTTAGAGAATAATTTGCAGTATACATCTAAAATGTTATGTAAGAAATTGCAAAGTGCTCCAACATATCTGATTTGTCTTCTGAACATGTAACAAAATTTATTAATAAGAACTTCTAAATTAAGCTTTGTGAAAACCTATGATGCTTAAAGGTTTTTATTAAAGTTGTATTCAGAACAATGTGTCTGGATGCTATTTAATATGTTTAATTCTGGCTAACATGGTATTATGTAAAATAATGTTGAATTAATTTAAATCACTATAAATATTTTATTGACTTACATATTTTAAATTTATGTATTTTCAACAATAAACACAGTTTTCTAGTCAAGGTAGGAGCTTGACATTTTAGCCAAAAATCTGACGTAAAAATACATATTTTTTTTCAAGGTTTGAGTAGTAATTTTGTTTCAGTTTATCATAACAACATTAATCACTCAGTCCCACTTGCTCTATTAGCTCATAGTCCTAATAAACTAGTTAGATTAATGTATATAGATAACTTTGAAAGGTGAAGCCAGCTGGACTTCCTGTGTCGAATGGGGACTTGGAGAACTTTTTTGTCTTACAAGAGGATTCTAAAATGCACCAATCAGTGTTCTGTAGCTAGCAAGAGGATTGTAAAATGCACCAATCAGCACTCTGTAAAAACACATCAATCAGCACTCTGTACCTAGCAAGAGAATTGTAAAATGCACCAATCAGTGCTCTGTAAAATGCACCAAACAGCAGGAGTCTAAAAGTAACCAGTCACAGGGAGGATTAAAAAAAGGGCACTCTGATAGGACAGAAATGGAAAATGGGAGGGGACAAATAAGGGAATAAAAGTTGGCCACCCAGCCAGCAGTGGCAATTCACTCATGTCCCCCTCCACACTGTGGAAGCTTTGTTCTTTTGCTCTTCACAATAAACCTTGCTACTGCTCACTCTTTGGCTCCGTGCCATCTTTAAGGGCTGTAACACTCATCGTGAAGGTCCACAGCTTCATTCTTGAAGTCAGCGAGACCACAATCCCACCAGAAGGAACCAACTCTGGACATTTTGGGGGCTTGTCTGGTATATCACCACGTGGTGAGTACCATCGGACCCCTTTGGCTTGCTATTGTGTCCTATTTTTCCTTAGAATTTGGGGGCTAAACACCGGGCTCCTGTTGGCCAGTTAAAAGCGACTAGCACAGCTGCTGGACTAAAGACATGGGTGTAAGGCTTTCTGGGAAAGTGCTCTCTGACAACCCCCGACTCTTCCGAGTTGTGAGTGCTGATTTGCCTAGAACCAGCTTCTGCTTTTCCTGTACTTCCAGGCTGAGCCGAGGGTTGGCAGAGATGAAAGCCATTCAGCTCTGGGGTCCCAACAAAAAGTTGGTTGACCCTGCAGCCATGAGCAGAACTCTCCAAGTTACGTTGCCCAAGCGAGACTCACCCATCTGTCTTATCTATCCTGACCCTTGCCTCCTGGGTCCTAATGTTTGTCAGACAAACTTCCTCCTGCCTCTCTTCTCCGAGGCTAGTCCCACTTCTAAAAGCCACTCCCTGTCCCTGGTGCTCTTCTAGTTTCTCCTATAAGAATGATTTCTATATAAATTTCAGGACTCTGTTCCTTTCTTTAGGCACCCAGGCTCACCAATCAGAAAGACATAATTTTTGCCCAAAGCCCCATCGCAGCAGGGGTGGGAGGGGGGACCATCTATCCTTTTAAGATCCCTTCTCAGACTAGCAGGCCTAACAAAGGTTATTCCCAAAGCTAGGATATGGGGAGCCTCAGATATTATATCCTTCCTATGCATATGATGAGAAGTGAGGACAAAAGGTGTCACTTTTCCAACCCTGGAGATCCCTTCCCTCCCTCAGGGTATGGCCCTCCACTCCATTTTGAGGCAAATCATCTTTATAGGACCAGGGTAAGGTCCCAATACTAACAGGAGAATGCTTAGGCCTCTAACAGGTTTTTGAGAATGCGTCGGTAAGGGCCACTAAATCCGATTTTTCTCGGTCCTCTTTATGGTCTAAGAGGAAAGGCAAGGGTGCCGGTTTTCGAGAATGTGTCAGTAAGGGCCACTAAATCCGACCTTCCTTGGTCCTCTTTGTGGTCTAGGAGGAAATCTAGTGTTTCTGCTGCTGCTTCAGTGAGCGCAACTATTCTGAACAGCAGGGTCCAGGGACCATTGCGGGCTCTTGGGCAGGGAAAAAAAAAAGGCTTTTTTTTCTTTTACGTGGTAAACACTCAGGCATCAACAGGCTCACCCTTGAAATGCATCCTAAGCCATTGGGACCAATTTGACCTGCAAACGCTGAAAAAGAAGAGGCTTATTTTTTTTCTGCACTACAGCCTGGCCCCAATAATCTCTCTGATGGGGAAAAATGGCCACCTGAGGGAAGTATAAATTATAATACTATCCTGCAGCTTGACCTTTTCTGTAAGAGGGAAGGCAAATGGAGTGAAATACCTTATGTCCAAGCTTTTTTTCCACTGAAGGATAATCCACAACTATGCAAAGCTTGAAATTTACATTCCACAGGAGGACCTCTCGGCTTACCCCCATATCCTAGCCTTCCTACAGCTCCCCTTCCGATTAATGATAAGCCTCCTCTAATCTCCCCTACCCAGAAGGAAACAAGCGAAGAAATCTCCAAAGGACCACACCCTCCCCCCCGGGCTATCGATTATGTCCCCTTCAAGCTGTAGGGGGAGGGGAATTTGGCCCAACCCAGGTACATTTCCCCTTCTCCCTCTCTGATTTAAAGCAGATAAAGGTAGACCTGGGGAAATTTTCAGATGATCCTGATAGGTCTATAGATGTCCTATAGTGTCTAGGGCAAACCTTCTACCTCACTTGGAGAGATGTCATGCTATTGTTAGATCAAACCCCAGACTTTAATGAAAAGAATGCAGCTTTAGCTGCAGCCTGAGAGTTTGGAGATACTTTGTATCTTAGTCAAGTAAATGATATAATGACAGCTGAAGAAAGGGACAAATTCCCGACCCGTTAGCAAGCCATCACCAGTATGGATCCCCACTGGGACCTTGACTCAGATCATGGGGACCAGAGTCATAAGCATCTGCTGTCCTGTGTTCTAGAAGGACTAAGGAGAATTAGGAAAAAGACGTGAATTATTCAATGATGTCCACCATATCTCTGGGAAAGGAAGAAAATCTTTCTGCCTTCCTCAAGCAGCTACGGGAGGCCTTAAGAAAATATACTCCCCTGTCACCTGACTCCCTCGAGGGTCAATTGATCCTAAAAGATAAATGTATTACCCAGTCAGCCACAGATATCAGGAGAAAGCTCCAAAAGTGAGCCCTGGGCCCTAAACAAAATTTGGAGGCATTATTAAACCTGGCAACCTCGGTGTTCTATAATAGGGACCAAGAGGAACAGGCTGAAAAGGAAAAGCGAGGTAAGAGAAAGGCCACAGCCTTAGTCATGGCCCTCAGGCAAACAAACCTTGGCAGTTCAGAGAGGACAGAAAATGGAACAGGCCAATCACCCAGTAGGGCTTGTTATCAGTGTGGTTTGCAAGGACACCTTAAAAAAGATTGTCCAACAAGAAACAAGCCACCCTCTCGCCCATGTCCACTATGCCAAGGCAATCACTAGAAGGCACACTGCCCCAGAGGACAAAGCTTCTCTGGGCCAGAAGCCCCCAACCAGATGATCCAACAACAGGACTGAGGGTGCCCGGGGCAAGTGCCAGCTCATGTCGTCACCCTCACTGAGCCCTGGGTAAGTTTAACCATCAAAGTCCAGGAAATTGACTTCCTTCTGGACACTGGTGTGGCTTTCTCAGTGTTAATCTCCTGTCCCAGACAGCTGTCCTCAAGGTCCGTTTCCATCTGAGGAATCCTGGGACAGCCTGTAACCAGGTATTTCTCCCACCTCCTCAGTTGTAATTGGGAGACTTTGCTCTTTTCACATGCCTTTCTTGTTATGCCTGAAAGCCCCACATCTTTATTAGGGATGGATGTATTAGCCAAAGCTGGAGCTATTATCTATATGAATATAGGGAACAAGTTAACCATTAGTTGTTCCCTACTTGAGGAGGGAATCAACTCTGAAGTCTGGGCATTGGAAGGACAATTTGGAAGGACAAAAAATGCCTGCCCAGTCCAAATCAGGCTAAAAGACCCCACCACTTTTCCTTATCAAAGGCAATATCCCTTAAGGCCTGAAGCTCACTTAAGATTACAGGACATTGTGAGACATTTAAAAGCTCGAGGCTTAGTAAGAAAATGCAGCAGTCCCTGCAACACCCCAATTCCAGGAGTACAAAAACTGACCAGTGAAAGATCTTAGACTCATCAATGAGTCAGTAATTACTCTATATCCAGTTATACCCAACCCCTATATCCTGCTCTCTCAAATACCAGAGGAAGCAGAATGGTTCACTGTTCTGGACCTCAAGGATGCCTTTTTCTGCATTCCCCTGCACTCTGACTCCCAGTTTCTCTTTGCCTTTGAGGGATCCTGCAGACCACACGGCCCAACTTATGTGGACAGTCTTGCCTCAAGGTTTTAGGGATAGCTCACATCTGTTTGGTCAGGCACTGGCTCAAGATCTAGGCCACTTCTCAAGTTCAGGCACTCTGGTCCTTCAGTATGTGGATGATTTACATTTGGCTACCAGTTCAGAAGCCTCATGCCAGCAGGCTACACTAGATCTCTTTAACTTTCTAGCTAATCAAGGGTAAACTGCATCTAAATCAAAGGCCCAGCTCTGCCTACAACAAGTCAAATATCTAGGCCTAATCTTAGCCAGAGGAACCAGGGCCCTCAACAAGGAACAAATACAGCCTATACTGGGTTATCCTTACCCTAAGACATTAAAACAGTTGCAGGGGTTCCTTGGAATCACTGGCTTTTGCCGACTATGGATCCCTGGATACAGCGAGAAGGCCAGGCCACTCTATACTCTAATCAAGGAGACCCAGATGGCAGATACTTATCTAGTAGAATGGGAACCAGAGGCAGAAACAGTCTTCAAAACCTTAAAGCAGGCCCTAGTACAAGCTCCAGCCTTAAGCCTTCCCACAAGACAGAACTTATCTTTATATGTCACAGAGAGAGAGTGGGAATAGCTCTTGGAGTCCTTACTCAGACTCGTGGGACAACCCCACAACCTGTGGCATACCTAAGTAAGGAAATTGATGTAGTAGCAAAAGGCTGGCCTCACTGTTTACAGGTAATTGCAGTGGTGGCCATCTTAGTATCAGAGACTATCAAAATAATACAAGGAAAGGATCTCACTGTCTGGACCACTCATTATGTTAATGGCATAGTAAGTGCCAAAGGAAATTTATGGCTATCAGACAACTGCCTGCTTAGATACCAGGTGCTACTTCTAGAGGGACCGGTGCTTCAGATATGCACATGTGCAGCCCTCGACCCCGCCACTTTTCTCCCAGAGGATGGGGAACCAATTGAGTATGACTGCCAACAAATTGTAGCCCAGACTTATGCCACCCAAGAGGATCTCTTAGAAGTCCCCTTAGCTAATCCTGCCCTTAACCTATATGCTGACAGAAGTCGATTTGTGGAGAATGGGACACAAAGGGCAGGTTATGCCATAGTTAGTGATGTAACAGTACTGGAAAGTAAGTCTCTTCCCCCAGGGACCAGCACTCAGTTAGCAGAACTAGTGGCACTTACCCGAGCCTTAGAACTGGGAAAGGGAAAAAGAATAAATGTGTATACATATAGCAAGTATGCTTATTTAATCCTATGTGCCCATGCTGCAATGTGGAAAGAAAGGGAGTTCCTAACCTCTGGGGGAACCCCCATTAAATACCACAAGGAAATCATGAAGTTATTGCACACAGTGCAAAAACCCAAAGAGGTGGCTGTCTTACGCTGCCAAAGCCTCAAAAAGGTGAAGGAGAAAAGGCAGAAGGAAACCATCAGGCAGACGCTGAAGCCAAAATTGCTGCCAGGAGGAACCTCCCCTTAGAAATACCTATGGAAGGACCCTTGGTATGGAACAACCCCCTCCAAGAGATTAAGCCCCAGTATTCCCTGACTGAAACAGAATGGGGACTTTCACAGGGGCATAGTTTTCTCCCCTTGGGGTGGTTAATGACAGAAGAGGGAAAGATACTCATACCCAAAGCCAGCCAGTGGAAAATACTTAAGACTCTCCACCAAACTTTTCATATGGGTATTGAGAACACTCATCAAATGGCCAAATCCCTATTTACAGGGCCAAATCTCCTCTGGACCATCTGACTCACAAAATGAGTCTAAGATCAAAGGAAAATAGAAATATAAAAAATTTGAGTCAAAACCTGATATTAAATATAATATAAAATTTTTAAAAAATATGTATATAAATTAAGTAATTAAAGGTAGATATTATTTTATAAGCATCACTTAAAAGTTGTTAAATAACAGGATATCTTAGATAACTTCTCTATATTTACATATATTAAGGAATATATATTCAAGTGTCATGTTATATATCAGAAATAAACAATTGTGCCATGGAATGCTACATTATGTTTAAAATATATATGTCAAATAAGTTGGGATGTTTAAATTTTACTGTAGAACATAATTTTAGGTTTCCACTATAAATCTCTAAAAGTAGATTCTTAATTAATATTGACATTAGGTAATGTTTATAATGTTAAGATTTTTTAAAAATTGATCAAAGAGAAGAAATACATTTATTTAACTTATTGTATAACCCATGCTAGAAAACAAAAGAGTCATAACGATTACTCACTGAAAAATCAGAGACATCTCAATCTTCCTTTTGGAACATTTTAAGTAATGATTAAATAGTGACTTGGCTTAATAATGGTTTGGCGTATGTAACATTGCACTTGTCTTCTCTGCTGTAGAGCGTCTATACTCCCACAAAGATTAAGAAGGCTACTCTAAACACGAGATTAAAACACCTAACATTTGGAGTTGTAGGTTTATATGAAAACTTGGTTTTGATTGATTTTTCAGTAATATTAAAACCCAGCTGATTTCAGAATAGAATTTTAAATCTAAATAGTAATAAATTATAAATAATATACAACTTTTCATATATTTCTTTTTTATTATCTTTAGGAAGTTAGGATTCCATCTAATATTATCCTACATATATTTTTTTCATTTCTCCTACCTTTCAAGTCATAATTTTTCTTTCTTCTAAATTATTTTTATTTAGCACTCTTCACTCTGGCTTCAGTACCATATTTTTGATAACTAAAATCAGAGTTGTTATGCAAAGAACCGTGAACGTTCTATGCCAGCAAGCTTGCACTTCTGCCTTTCCTCTAGCAGATATAAATTTAAATATTTTATATATAAATATTTTATACCCATTGGTGTTTTTAATCACATCTAACATGCATTTCATCAAATTGAAAAAAAGGCATATTATTACCATTTGCTCAAATAACATATATTGAGATTGATTTTAATGTTTACTGTAGATATTAACTATAAAAATGTTTAGGCTGGGAGCAGTGGCTCATGCCTCTAATCACAGCACTTTGGGAGGCCTAGGCATGAGGAAAGCTTGAGGTCAGGAGTTGAAGACCAGCCTGGACAACATAGTAAAACCCCGTTTCTACAAACAATAAAAAAATTAGCTGGGGTGTGGTGGTGTGGACCTGTAGTCCCAGCTACTTGGGAGGCTGCTGGGGCAGGAGAATTGCTTGAACCTGGGAGGCAGAAGTTGCAGTGAGCTGAGATCGAGCCACTGCACTCCAGCCTGGGCAACAGACTTCGTCTCAAAAAACAAAAAAATCAAGGTAGAGACATTAATAATTAAAGCCCTAGAAGAGAATTGTTTATTAAATTCTCTTTTCAAATCTATTAACTTTTAACATAAACTTTTATTTATCTATAGCTTTAAAAAACATTATGCTAGAAATATATAGCATGTGAGAGTCAATAATGTAAGGTGTACAAGTCACATTCTCTCCATCTCTAAATACTTCCCAATAATTAGATTTGACATAACTATCATTATCAGCATCTCATAAGAAAATTTTAATTACATTTGTCTTTCCAAGTTAAATTTAGTGTTCACAAACATGGTACTCATTCCTTAAAATAATTAGAACATAGAGCAACAACTTTTTCTAACAAATGCTCATATTCCTCAAGTACTTTCTAGAGAACACTGAAGAAGGATTCATTCTGTAATAGCTAATAAAGACTGAATTATCCAACAATATTTAAAAGCTCATTTCAATAAAGTATAAAATTAAATAGTGAAATTCAACTTATTAATATTAGAATCTCAAAAAGTATGCCAAAATATTTATGGCAATATCTTGTAAGAATAAATAAAATAGCATTTTTAAGATACTAAAAATAATTTGTCTGCAACATCCAGAAGGATTAGATGTGAACTTGTGTTTAATTTGAAGTATTTTTAAGGTCTCTTTGCAAGTTAAAAGTTCTCCCTTTTGTGCATGCTACAACTGATTTAAACAAAGCAGTGAAACTATTATATTGTATGAATTGTAATATGTGACAGAGCAGGAAAACCACCATCTTGCACAAACGCCCCCATTTTAAGTCCCAGATCCCTTTCTAATCTCATGCATTTCAAGAAAATCACTTCTCTTCTAACCTCAAGCAGCCAGAAAGAGCAGACAGTGAAACAAAGGTAAGACAGCTCAAGCACAGAAGGAGAGGGGAAAGTCCCTTCGGGAAGAACCAATCTTCACACTCAAAAAATGGGCCCCAGTAAAACAGTGGGCCCTAATAAGCACATTCCTTTCACTTTAGGTTCACTAAGATAGGAAAGCTAAAAGTAGATTCAGGGCAGGGGTATGCCTGCAGCTGCAGGAAGTTGTACAGTAACAGACACAAAAACTCTCCCTCTCAGATAAGCAAGACAAAGTGTGAAAAGCTCTCGCACCTTGAACCCATAAATACTCTCGGCCTGTAACAGAAAGTGCTCCTGTCTCAACTTGGCCAGAAGTCCCTCGCAGGTTTATTCCTTAAAATAAACCTGTCTCTGACTGTTAAGCCACTTTTCATGTTTTTTTCTTTCTTCTTCAACTCCTACAATATGAAATGTAGATACCACAATTTTAATTATTTTAAAACAATTTAGTGTGAGTTTTATTTGCTAAACAAATTCCGATAGCTATTTTTCAATTATAAAGAGACACTAATGAGCAAATAGTGAAAATTAAAATGAAACATAACTTCAAAAACTGCAAAACAATCCTCTGCCAATACTTTTATTTTGACATTTTTTAAAATTATATAAGTAACTATGCTTCTAAACTTGGAGTGTCCTGGATAAGCCGTTACAGAACAGCAATATCCCTTTTTTGTGATGATGACTTAAAATTATTTCATTTCAGAATTATAATAACATAACATTTTTAAAGAGTATACATGTATCATTTTATATTATACTATAGATTGATCAGAGGTTTTCTTAATGTTGGCCATTCCATTTGAGTTCAAATTAACTAATATAAACAATTCATAATAAATTTATTTTATTTCAACTGTTGCTTACTATTATTTTTAGATTCACAAAATGGATATTATGGATATAAAGTACATGTTTACTTTAATGTCCTTTGGTATATACTACCAATAAATTTTGTAGAATTGTGGAATCAATATAGCCATTTGTGTAAGACTGCTCATTTTCGTGGAGTCCTGTCCTCACTGAATATTTATTCTTTAAAGTCAAATAGGGAGGAAACATCATCTCATTATTAATCTGTTTAGTTTAATATTAATAAGGTTATTTCATTCCTATAATTTATTGTTCATCCTTTTTTCTTTTTAAATATATATTTTTTAAGGATTCCATATATTTTATATGGCATATTAGTTTGTAAATGTTTTCATTAACTTTCAAAGTTTTCTATGTAGAAGTCATTAGTCTTTTGGATATAAATTTCAAATAGCACAATACATTCCACCAAAATTTGTATTAGAAAAATGATTGAAAATAAAATAAAAATTGACAGAATCTTGAACATATTGATAAGCATTTTTGTTGTTAATTGTATAATTTTTTTATTTCTAGATTTATTGTTCTTTACTAAATTTTCTCATTACACATAACTGCCTCCTTATTTGTCTGGTAATTCTTGATTGAACACTGGACATTGTTATTTTTACATTGCTAGGAGTCTGAAATGTGTTTGGCTTCTTTTAAAGAGGGTTGAGTTTTAGTCTTACATGCTAATAACTTATGTGTGAATCTTCTGTGAAACTATAATGGTAACAGAAAAAAAGGGAAAAAAGTCAATAATGGCAAGAGAAAATAATAAAATCTACTTTTCAGTAAGTAATGTAGGTAGACAATCTCCCATGCTATCATGAGGTCACGGAAATCTAAAAGATTTCAGAATTATGCTAAGTAAGAAGAAGCAAAATGATACAGCTCTGTAGATCATAGTCTGCTTTTCTGTAGGTTCTGAACAACATTTTTATTTAATAGAACCCTTCTGGATTTTCATCCTAATTTTCCTTCTAAAATTGTGAAGCCTTTCATTTTCTTAATAGTAAATAATATATACACATAGAAAATATTATTTCCATTTTGGAAACTCCAGAAAAGTTTTTATCACTTACATATAAGACACCTTTAAATAATATTGTACACAATGCAAAAAGCAACCAAAAGTTTAAACAGATAATTTTAATTGAATTATCCATATTTGGCCTTTCTTTAAAATATTCTTTATGATTTAATATCAGAATATTCTTTAGATTTTATTATATTTGAGAATACTTGAGTTTGACATTTTGCTTAATCTATGAAAAAGAAATTTATGAGCTATGTGAGCTATGATTGCACCACTGCACTCCATCCTGGGTGACAGAACAAGATCCTGCCTCCATAAAAATTAAAAATAAAAACAAAAACACCACTGTGTAATTCATATTTACTGCTGCAAAATTTAGTTAAGCATATATTTTAAAAAGCAATGAGAAAAATAACATAAAATAAGTCCTACAGCTATGGGAGTACTATTTTTAAAAATCAATTATTCTCAGAAACACGAAAAGCTGTTTTTCAGAAATTACAACAAAGCAAACTGCTGGTAACCATCCTAGTGTATATCCATTTCTCAAAATAGTACAAGCACTTTCACAGAAAAAGCGAAGCCATTCATTATAAAATGCCCCAAAGGCATAGATTTTCTCCAAGTGAGATCCACATTTCTCTTTTGCAAAGGAAATCAATTTCAAAAATAGAGATAAATGCTTAGCAACAGCAATTCAGTTGCTTTCAGCATATGTGCTGACTGTAGAGTGTATAAATATATAGATATTTGAATACTATATATATTTATAAGCAGTTGGAGTTGATATTTTCACCGAATGTTTAAGTGCATAGCACATTTGCAATAACATTCATGTGTACCATATCCATGTAATGAAAGCAGCATTCATATGATAATAACATTGTAAACTTTTCAAATTAATAATTATTCAAGTATTTATTTATGTGGGAATTTTATGAAAATGAATGATTTTATGACATAAAATTTTATAATAAATATTCCTTAAGCTATAGAGCCTTCCAAATATCTAAAATTGTTTTTAAGAAAAACACTTCCAAATATGCACATTGATATTTTAGCAGTGAAATTATACATTATTTTAACATCTATTGCCAGCTATTGTAGTTTATCTTTTGTAATTCCACAGATTAACACTAGTTCAGAAAAATATTTTCCTTTTTTTTAACATAAATATAGTGACATAGCTGGAAATGAAAGCAAGTTTGTTAGAAAATAAATGTTGTTGTTTTATAGGAGGTTAATTTTTCTGACCTGTAACTTGACTCATATAGACAGCACCATTTAAATTACAAGTAGAACGTTTGAGAGTGAAATAATGCTGCTCCCAGACGGTATCTCTCCTTTGCACAATATTCAGCCACCTGTTTTAAAGGATGTAAAAATACAACCACTCAAATAGACATTAGTAAACATAATTTTCTTATTTTTCAAGTTAAAAACTCTCTCCTTTAGAATGTTAGAATAACAAATCCAGAACAGCCTGTTATGCCCCAAAATTATTGGTAGTGTTAACTGTTTATGTATAAAGGTAGCCTACTTTTTGAAATCTGCTTTTTTTCTTGGAACATTGTAACTTAGCCAAAAAGAGTTTGTCTACGCCTTTAGGCTTCAGTCATTCTCCTTGTGCCAGTAGACTGAATGTCTAGGTTTATACTTGTTATATTTTTGGACATTTTCTCAGCTGGCTACATTTAAGGATAACAAAATAAAGGAAGGGTAACTGCAAAATGAACAAATTATTCTTTTTTGTTGTTGTTCTTTGTTCTACTAAATATGTTGGAAACAAAACTATTATATGTACACATAACAAATGTGTATATACATTAAAATTGTGCAAAGATAACATCATTTTTATTTATACTGCACATTATGTTTTTCAGATTGCTTTACATGTATATTTGAAGCTCAAAATAATATAGGGAAGTAAACAATACCATAAGCTTATTGTTTTTAATCAGATGGGAAACTGAAGTTTAGGCTAAAGAGCTTGTCAAAAATCACAGGGCTTATAAATTAGGATTACATTTAATACTAAAAATAATTTATTACCTTTACTCCCTATGAATTTTAGATTCTAGTATATCAAGATAAAACTGCATTTTTTCTTCTACTTTCATCTGTACTTCCTGAGAACTTTAACATATGAGGAAAACATGCTTGGCTCTATGTATTGGGGGAAAGCTACAACTACCTCCCATTATAGGCATTTTAAAATAAGTTTGCATATAACAAGTTCAAGAAATCCATTTCATAGTGCTTATGTCATGAGTTTAGTAGTTAACAAGTAATAAATAACTTACACCATATTTGATATTTGATGACTGACAGATGTTAAGTCTCAAAATCCTCCCTTTTCCTCTACCCCCCTCCCCCCACACATCTGGAAAACTCTGGGTGTTCCCTCCCTTTTGCCCTGGTAGGTAGTTTATGTTCTGAAAGCCCTGACCCTCTTGCATAGAAACTGTAACCTGGGTTCATCTCCTAACCAACATAAAACCCTAAGCCAGTCTCTTTTTCTCCTGAAACCATTTTTTGATTGGCATGGAAACCTGCCCAGCTCTCTAGAAAATGCCTAATTATAAATGTAGTCAAACTTTTCATACTTGCTTCTTGTTTGTGTGGAGTCATCAGAACAGACTTCTGAACCAAATTTTGTGTGAGAAGTACACCTCACTTCTGTGTAGTGTCCAAAACAAGGCACTATGTAGAATATCCCTGTTATCATCCAATGGAGCAATAACAGCTTGTGAAATGAAGCTTAGAGAAATGTCACCAGATCTATCATTATCTCCCCCACAACCACCACCATTTTGTTTTTGGCTTTAAAAAGAATGTAAGTGAATTAAGTTCATAATTCCTCTAGAGTAAGTGAAGGCAAGGAAAACATATATTTTGGATCTATCAGTCTTGGTATGTTTAATAAAAATCGACCCTATTTTCTTAGTTATATCACATTTAATGCTCATAAATTATGTGTATCTACACATTGACTTACATGTATATATTTAATCACTGTGAAATACGTGTTGTTACTGTCAGAATGTATCACTACTCTATGAAATTATTTATGCAAAAATAGGTTGAACTTGCTTTGTGCAACTAAGAAAACCATCTAATCTTTTTACAAGTTAGTGTCTGGCTATAATTGGGAATCATCTTCTGTAACAATCTCCTGTGTGCCAGCTGGCTTTGTAAGTGATACCACTTTCCAAATTGTCAATCATGTAACATTGTGTAAAGCACGTAACCAATAAATAAATTGATCTAGACCCCAGCTGCATGTCTTTGCTACCAAAAATAGGAACCGTATTTCTACTAAAACATAGTTGGTTCCTTGCTTTTTGGATTTCTGATTATTCATACATCATCTGCTTTGAGTAAAATATTCTGTATCAATGTTTAGCTCTCACTTTAAGTAAGAATATATGGTATTTGGTTTTCTGTTTCTGTGTTAATTCACTTAAATGAATAGCCTCCATCTGCATTCATTGTTTTTGCAAATGACACATTTTGTTCTTTTTTATGGCTATGTAGTATTCCATTGTATGTATGTACCACATTTTCTTTATCCAATCCATCATCAGTGGGCACCTAGGTTGATTCATGTCTTTGATATTGTGAACAGTAGTGAGGAACATATAAGCTCATGTACCTTCTTGGTAGAATGATTTATTTTCCTTTGGGTAAATATACCAGTAATGGAGTTGCTGGGTCAAAGGATAGATCTGTCTTAAGTTATTTGAGACATTTCCAAATAGCTTTTCACACTGGCTGAAATAATTTACATTCCCAACAATAGTCTATAAGTGTTCCCATTTCTCCAAAACCTCACCAACACCTATTATTTTTTGACTTTTTAGTAAAAGCCATTCTGACAGTTATGATATCTAGTTGTGGTTTTGATTTGTATTTCTCCAATGATTAGTGATAATGAGCATTTTTTCATGTTTATTGGCCACTGGTAGTCTTCTTTCAAGAAGTATCTGTTCATTTCGTTTGCCCATTTTTTAGTGGGGTTATTTGTTTTTTGTTGGATGATTTATTTAAATTCCTCATAGCTTCTGGATATTAGACCTTTATAGGATGTGTAGTTTGCAAATATTTTTCTCCCATTCTGTAAGTTGTATGTTTACTCTATTGATAGTTTCTTTTGCTGTGCAGAATCTTGTTAGTTTAATTAGATCCCACTTGTAAATTTTAGTTTTTGTTGCAATTGCTTTTGAGGACTTTGTTGCAATTGCTTTTGAGGACTTTGTTGCAATTGCTTTTGAGGACTTTGCCAAAAATTATTTGCCATGGCAGGTGTTGAGATTGGTATTTTCTAGGGTTTTTAATAGGATTTTTACAGTTTTAGATCTTACATTTAAATCTTTAACTCATTTTGAGTTAATTTTTGTAACTAAACATTGAATACACATGGACATAAAGATGGGAACCATATTCACTGAGGACTACTAAAAGGAAGAGGGAAGTGGGAGGGTGTGGTTTGAAAAATGACCGAATGGGTACTATATTCACTACTTGAGTGAAAGGATCCATACCCTAAACCTCAGCATCACACAACATGCCTATGTAGCAAACCTGCACATGCACCCCTTGAATCGAAAATAGAAATTTGAATTATTAAAATAATAATAATAAAATAAAAAATTCCCTATAATGGGTAAGACTCCACAAAAGTAATCATCTATAATTTTTCATGACATCATATTAATTTTGGAATGTGCTATCATATTTGTTTAAATAAAGTCTTAAATCAGTTATGGTAAATTTTCTATCAATTTTCATGCCAACAAAGTAAAATCCAGTGTTTATGTCTTTGCCTGTATAGTCTCTTTTCCTTATTTTTTGGTTTGGAAGGCACACAAAATTTGGCTTTGGTTTGTAGATGGTTATTTTTGAAACTTGAAACTCTGCTAGCCTGAAGGAAGAGGTTTAGCATTCTCAGTAAGACTAAAACTGAAAAAAAAACAAAACAAACAAAATCTTAGGAAAAAATTATTTGAAGGTAATCTATGGGATTTTCAGATCCAAATACTAAAACACCAATGCATTTTGGCATCTAAAAACTTCACATTTCTGGACAGCACTTTTGAGTCTGAGGTGGGAGGATGACTTGAGATCAGGAGCTCAGAATCAGCTTGGGCAACATAGTGAGACCTTATTTATACACAAAATTTTTAAAAATTCACATTTAAAAATCTTTCCATTTAAAGTTTTGTTTAATAAGAAAAGGGGTCAATTAAAGAAAGAAAAGAGACTGTTTTAACCAAGTCAACAGCAGTCATAGAAAAATGCAATTTAAAACATTACAACAAAAATAAATATAACTGTTGACTGAAACACCTGAAGCATCTGAAACACCAGATAACAGTATTCTGGCTAACAATTATACTGAAAGATCAATTTTACCCTTTGCCAATGTCTGCATTTACTAGTCTCCCAACCCCACATTCCGTTATTGAAATTTCTCTATGTCCAGACATTTTTCTCTTCTTTAAGCTGGTACTTTCCAGAGTTCTCTGATTTTTTCATCGATAACCTACATAAAACTGATAGCTCCAAATAGCGTATGATATTGACAACCTTTGAACTTTGCCTTCTGTGCTGTGGTGTGTGATTCAGTTTATGCAACTTGCACTTAGAAAATTTGCTCCTGGCTTTCCTAACTTTCTGAACTCTTTATCATGATAAGACTAGTGAGGATAATCAGAATTGTATCTTTGGCATACCTTGACGAAGTATGCAGGGATCAATTACGGTGGGCTAACTCCTTTAATTTTCGTGGAACTGCCTCATATCCCCCAAGAGCAAACACATCGACTGATTCCATATTTTTGTTTCAGTTCTTCCAAATAAAATAAATAAATAAAATGTTTTAAAAAGTAAAGTCTTACCTGTTTGCTCCAATGGTAACATATCACAAACCTATAATACAAAATCATAACCAGGATACAGACATTGATATAATCCACTGATCTCATTCAGATTCCCCGTTTTAATTGTACTTAATTGTGTGTGTATTATGTGTATTTAGTTCTATACAATTTTATCACATCTGTAAATTTGCGCTCCACCACCACAGTCAGGATACAGAGCAGTTCTATAGCCACAAGTATCCCTCCTGCTGCCCTTTTAAAAACACACCCACCTCACTCCTCCATTCTCTAAATCTTTAGCCACCACTAGTCTATTCTTCATTTCTAATATTTTGTCATAAAACATTTATTTCAATAAAACTATGCAGAATGTAATCTTTGGGGATTTGTTTAATTCTCTGGAAATTCACACAAGCAGTTGCATGTATCAATAATTTGAGCCTTTTTATTGTTATATATTATTCCATGGTGTAGATGTAAAACAGTTTGTTTATTCATCCATTGAAAGACATCTTAGTTGTTTCCAATTTGAAGCTATTACAAATAAAGCTGGATGAACTTTTTTTACAGAGAAAAATAAAAATAAGTCTTAAATCAATATTTTACAAATTTTAACTATAATCATAAATGTCCACTAATGTAAGTTGTAACCATAGTTGGATTTAATCTGCTTCATCACCATTTTCTAATAAATTTATGTATTTTTGTTATAGTTTAGGTAAATTTACTATTTTTAATAGATTTTTTTGAACATGGAGTTATATCATTTTAATGTCTATATAATTGTTGTAAGCTATACTATTGCTATTTTGATTTTATTGTATTTTGTCCTAGAAACTACTTGATGTGACTTTCAAATACTTTCTCCTATTCTGTAGGTTGTCTCTTCACTGTATTGTTTATTTCTGTTGCTGTGTAAAGGCTTTTTAATTTGATGTAATCCTATTTGACTATGTTTGCTTTTGTTGCCTACACCTTCGAGGTTTTATTAAAAAAAAATGCTTGCCCAGATTAATTTTATCAAGTGTTTCCCCATGTTTTCCTCTAATAGTTTCACAGTTTTGAGTCTTATATTTAAGTCTTTAATCCATGTTGTATTGATTTTAATATAGTAATAGATAAGGGTCAAGTTTCATTCTTCTGTGTCTGGATATCTAGTTTTCCCAACACCATTCATTGAAGAGACAGCCCTTTCCTCGATGTATGTTTTTGGTACATTTGTGAAAAATAAATTGGCTGGAAAGTCATGGAGTTATTTATCTTCCATTGAGCTATTTCTCTGTTCTTATACCAGTACCATGTAGGTTTTTATACCATAGCTTTGTAGTATATTTTAAAGTCAGATAATGTGATGTCTCCAATTTTATTTATTTATTTATTTTGATAAAGATTGCTTGGTTATCCTAGGTCTTTTGCCTTTCCATTTGAATTTTAAGGTTGATTTTCTATTTATGCTAAGAATGCCATCATTATTTTTGTGGAGATTGTATTGAATCTGTAGATTTCTTTGGGTAATATGGACATTTTCACAATATTAATTTTCCAATCTATGAACACAGGATACAGTTTCATTTGTATCCTCTTTTGTCAATGAATTAATCAATGTTTTATATTTATCACTGTAGAAATCTTTTACCTCCTTGATTATGGTTATTTCTAGCTATGTCATTTTTTTAGTTATTGCAAATAAAATTGCTTTCTTGATAAGTTATGTATCTGACAAAAGGTGAATATTCAGAATATATAAGAAACTAAAATAATTCAATAGCAAAAAGCCCAATTAATCTGATTTTCAAAATGAACAGAATACCTAAATAGACATTTTTCCAAAGAAGACATACAAATGGCCAAGAGATATATGAAAAATTGCTCAAAATCACTAATTTTTAGACAAATGCAAATCAAAGCCACAATGAGATATCACTTCACCCCAATTAGAATTACTATTATTGAAAAGACCAAAAAAAAATAATAAATGCTGACAAGAATATGGATAAAAGGGAAATCTTACAAATTTTTGGTAGAAATATAAAGTAGTATAATCATTATGGAAAACAGCATGAATATTCTTTGAAAAATTAAAAAAAGAACTACTATATGATCCAGCAATCCCATTACTGGGTAGGTGTATATTCAAAAGAAACAAAATCAGTATGTCAAAGAGGCATCTGCATACTCATATTTATTGTAGTGCTATTCAAAATAGTCAAGATATGGAATCAGTTGAACTGTCTATATTGGTATCGGATGGATAAAGAAAATATTGCACGTATATACATATATTTATTTTTCTAAGGAAAAATGATGTATTTTTTGTAAAACATATATTTGTTTTATGGATAAATAGTATTCCATTGTATATACCATATATGCCATATATGCATATATACAGCACATATGTAAGAACTAAAAAGTTAAGTATATGGTGTATGTGTATATATATGGCATATACAATGGAATACTACTCACCCATAAAACAAAATAAAATTCTGCCGTTTACAACAACATGAATAAACCTGAAGTACTTTAAGTGAAATAAACCAGGCACAGAAACACAAACACCACATATCTTACTAATATGTGAAAATGTTAATTTAAAAAGCTGATTTCATATATGCAGAGATTAGAATTGTAGTTACCATAGGCTGGTAAGAGTATGGGGGACATTGAGCAACTGGTAAGTTTGGTAAACAGGTACAAAATTACAGTTAGACCAGAATAAGTATTGGTATTCTATTACACAGTAGGGTGACTATGGCAAATAACAATGTATTGTGTATTTTAAGATAGCTAAAAGATTTTGGATGTTGTCACCAAAAATAAGTGATAAAGGTTTAAAGTGATAGATATGGAATTACCACTATTTTGTCATTATTCTATGTATACATCTATCTTTCAATAAATGACATTGAAAATCAAATTTTACCCTGTAACTATGTATAATTATATTGTGTTAATTATGTTATTTTATTAACTGATATTTATCTTTTGAATTCTATTGAGGCTTAATTTTTGACATATTACATACTTAAATATTTTTGGACAATTTCATGCGTTCTTAGAAAAAAGTGTATTCACAATTTGTTAGTATTGAAGTCTAAGGATTTCTCATAAATCATTATAATGAAAAGTATTTTTTAGTATTTTTCCCTTTATATATATATATATTTAAAATCGTACAATAAAAATGTTATTGAACATATTTATGGTGTACAGGTAATATTTCGATACATCCATACACTGTGTATTGATCAAATCAGGGTAATTAGAATATTTATCACCTCAAACATTTATCATTTCCTGTGCTGAGAACATTTCCAATATATAAAATTGACATGTAAAAATAAATAGTGTTTCTAAAGTCAGGTAAAGTAATGCCGCCAATTTTATTTATTTGAACTAGCAGAAAAAGAAATTAAGAAAGCCATCTAATTAACAATTGTTACAAAAAAAATACTTGGGAATAAATTTAACCAAGAAGGTGAGAGATATTTGCGAACAAAACTATAAAATATGGATAAAATAAATTGAAGAGTCACAAACAATGGAAAGAAATCCCATGTTCATGGATTTGAAGAATTAATATTTTTAAAAGACAAAAAGGATTCTATAGATTTAATGCAATGTCTATCAAAATACCACTGACATTCCTCACAGAAATGGAAAAAAAAATCTTAAAATTGTTATGGAACCACAAAAGACCATGAATAGCCAAAAAAAAAAACAAGGCTGGAGGCAGCATGCTACTTTGCTTCAAATTTTGCTACAAAACTATAATAACTAAACTGCATGGTACTGGCATAAAACAGACACATTGACCAATAGAACAAAATACAGAACCCAGAAGTAAATTCATGCAATTACACGCAACTGATTTTTAACAAAGGAACGAAGAACATTAAATAGGGAAAAACAGTCTCTTCAATAAGTGGTGCTTGGAAAACTGAAGAATCATATGCAGAAAATTGGACTATTATTTTTCACCATATAAAAAGTAAATAAAACTAGATTAAAAACTTAAATGTAATACTGGAAACTCTATCACTACTAGAAGAAAAGAATGGGGAAATGCTTCAGGTCAAAGACTTGTTGGAAGAGATTTCAAAAGCACAGGCAACAAAAATGAAAATAGGCAAATAGGATTACATCGAACTAAAAAGCTTTTGCATAACCAAGGAAACAATTGACATATGAAGATACAACCTACAGAATGAGAGAAAATATTGGCAAACTATCTAACCAACAAAGGATTACTAACCAGAATATACAAGGAATTCAAACAACACAAGCAAAAATAAATCTCATTTAAGAATGGATAAAAAACCTACATAGACAATTTTCAAAAGAAGACTACAAATGGCCGACAAGTACATGCTCAACATTACTAATCATAAGGGAAATGCTAATCAAAAGCACAATAATATATCATCTTATTCCAGTTAAAATGGCTATCATCAAAATGACAAAAAATCACAGATACTGGCAAGGATGAGGAGAAAGGGGCATGCTAGTACTCTGTGGGTAGGAATGTAAATGAGTTGTGCCACTGTGAAAAATAGTATGACAATTACTCAGAAAACTAAAAATAGATCTACCATACAATCCAGGAATCCACTGGGTATATATCCAAAAGAAAGGACATCTGCACTCTCATGTTTATTGCAGCACTATTCACAATAACACAGATATGGAATCAACCTACTTTTCCATCAATGAATGAATGGATAAAGAAAATGTGACATGTATACACAATGGATGCCATTCAGCTATAAGAAAGAATAAAATCCTGTCATTCGCAGCAACATGGATGGAATTCAAGGTCATATAAAGTGTTTCAGTCTTTGATCTGCATGTTTTTATCTACTCAATCTATCAGTTTCTGATAACGGTAGATTAAAATTACCAATTACAATCTTGATTTAGCCTTTCTCTTTGCATTTATATTATTTATCATTTTATACGTTTTAAGATGTCTTGGAATATAATATATTAATGATATGGTTTATATTTCTATATATCTTTATATATATACATTATTATTTTATGTTCCATATGAAACTTGGACTATAATTCTAAATTTTATAGATATTAAAATTGATACCTCATTTTTGGGGTCCGTAATTGCCTATAATGTGTTTAATTCCATCATTCCATTTCCAAACTATCTATTTCTATTTTGAGGTCTTCTATAGACAACAATAAAACTATATATTGTTTTTAAATACAGTGTGAGTACTTTAATTAGGTAATATTCATATACATTTATTATAATTATATGAGAAACTAGTTATGCCATGTACATTATATTTTTCATTTCTGATTTTTCTTTTTTTCTCATCACTATTTTGTTTTTGTGCTGGATGCTCCTAATTCTAGACACAATTTATATTTATTTCCCATATTAATATTTAATTTTTAAAAATCATCATCTTCTTCCTCCATAAGAAACATGATCTCATGCTGTTTTTTCCAATTTCACTTTTCCTTCCTATTATTTTGACATATGGAATTTGGTTTGGGATTTTGTCTATATATTATACTCATTTTTTTCTTTTCTTTTATTTTGAATTATGAATATTCAGATATATTTCCTTCACTTTCCAAAGCTTTTGTAACAGATCTTGTATTTGTTCTCCTTATTATCATAGTACTTTAACCAAAATTGTTTTCACTATGAGTACATTCCTTATTATCATAGTACTTTAACCAAAATTGTTTTCACTATGAGTACATTTTAGCTTACATGCCTAATAATATATTCATAGCTCATAATTTAATAAAAATATACTTCTATATAAATATGTTTAAAATGATATACCAATAATTAAAAGTTAATACTTCATAATTTTTGGAATACAATATCTTCGTCATAAAAGTGATTTTCAATGGATTGTTTTCCTTTGTGGATAATCAGTTGCCCTTTCTTTAGGAATAATTTTAAATTTTCTCTTTAGTTTAGACATTTTCAAAAATTACCATAGCATATTCCAGGTCTTGAGTTGTCATTTTATTTCCTCTTTGGTATTTGATGGGTCCTTTCAAAATCAGGATTTTATAGATAGATAGATAGATAGATAGATAGATAGATAGATAGATAGATAGATATAGATATATAGATATATTTGGTATTTGTACAAATGTATGAGGTACAGGTTAAATTTTGTTACATGTATGTAATGCATACTCACACATTTAGCGTATTTAGGGTTCCATCACCTCAGTAAAATACATTTATGTGAAGTATAGTCACCCTACTCTACTTTCAAACATTAAATTTATTCCTTTGGTCTCGTTCTATATTTGTAGACTTTAGCCCACTTTTCTTCATCATCCTCCCTGTCCCCCACTCACCCTTCCCAGTCTCTGTTATCTATTTTTCACTTTCTACCTCTATGTGATCTAATTTTTTAGCTCCCACATATGGCTGAGAATATGCAGTATTTGCTTTTCTGTGCCTGGTTTGTTTGATGTAAAATAATGATCTCCAGTTCTATCCATGTTCCTGCAAATAACATGATTTCATTAATTTTTAATGGATGAATAGTATTACAGTGTGTGTGTGTTCGTGTATGTGTGTGTGTTTAGGTAGATATATACACACACGTATACATATACATATATATGTGATATATAATATATATTATAAAATGTGATATATATATATACATATAACATTTTCTATATTCATTCATCCATTGATAGACAAGTAGGTTGATTCTGTATCTGTGCTATTGTGATTAGTGCTGCAATAATAAGCTTGCAACTGCAGGTCTATCATTGAATATATTGATTTCTTTTCCTTTGATAGATTCATCATAGTTGGATTGCTAGATTGATTGGTAGTTTTGTTTTTGGTTTTTTGATAAGTCTTGGAACTGTTTTCCACAGTGGCTGCACTAGTTTTCATTCCCACTAACAGTGTATAAGAGTTCACTTTTCTGAATATTCTCACAAATAACTGCTTTTTTGTCTTTTTAATAGTAGCCATTCTAACTGGGGTGACATGATATCTCATTGTGGTTTTGATTTCCATTTACCTGTTTATTAATGATTTTGAGAATTTTTTATATATCTGTTGGCATTTGAAGTTCTTTTGAGAAATGTCTGTTCATGGCTATTGGCAACTCTTTAATGATATTATTTGTTTTGTTTTGTTTTTCCTTTTGAGTTGTTTGAGTTCCTTGTGTAATCCAAATATTAGCGCCCTATCAGATGAACAGATTGCAAATATTTTCTCCCATCCAACAAATGATCTCTTCACTATGTTGATTATTCTTTTTTTCTGTGAAGAACATTTGTAGTTTAATTATGTCATGTTTATTTATTTTTGTTTTTGTTGCCTGTGCTTTTGAGGTCTTTGTCATAAATTTTTTGCCTAAACTAATGTTCATTAAGAGTTTTCCCTAGGTTTTCTGCAGGCATCTTACAATTAATTCTTTAATCCAATTTGAGGTAAGTTTTTCATATATGTTAAGAGATTAGGTTCGCTTTTATTCTTCTGCATGTATTATAATTACCCAGTTTTTCCAATATCATTCATTGAAGAAGATGTACTTTCCCCAATGGAAGTTCTTGTCAGCTTTGTCAAAAATTATTTGGTTGTAAGTATGCGGCATGATTTCTGGGTTCTCTATTGTGTTCCATTTGTGTATGGGTCTATTTTTATACCAGTTCCATAACCGTAGCATTGCAATATATTTTAAAGTCAGGTAATGTCATACCTGTAGCTTTGTCCGTATTGCTCAGTATTGCTCTGGCTACTCAGGATCTTTTTTTTTTTTTTTTTTTTTTGGTTCCATATACTTTTGGGGATTGTTTTCTAATTTCATGAAGAATGGCAGTATTTTGATAGAGATTGCACTAAATCTGTGGCTTGTTTGGGGCAATAGTCACTTTAACAATATTAATTCTCCCAATCCATGAAAATGGGATATTTTTCCATTTGTTTATGTTATATTTAATTTCTTTCATCAAAGCTTTCTAGTTTTCCTTGCAGAGATCTTTCACTTCCTTGGTTAAATTTATTCCTAAGTGTTTTATTTTTTTGCAGGGGTACTACAAGTGGGATTGTGTGCTTAATTTCTTTTTGGCTAAGTCATTATTGATGTGTTGAAATATTACTAATTTTTGTATGTTGATACTGTATCCTGCAACATTTTAAAATTAATTTATCAAATCTAAGATTTTTTCATGGAGTATTTTTGACCTTCTAGATATAAGATGATATTATCATCAGAGAAGAATGATTTGACTTTCCCTTTTTCAAGTTGGGATCCCTTTTATTTCTTTCTCTTATGTGGTTCCTCTGGCTAGGAATTTCAGATCTATGTTGAATAAGAGTGGTAAAAGTGGACATCTTTGTTTCTTTCCAGTTCTTAGAAGAAAGCCTTCTGCATTCAGTATAATGTCAGTTGTGGTTAACTATCTATGGCCTCTATTATGCTGAGGTAGATTCCTTCTATACCTACTTGGTTTAATTTTTATCATTAAAGGGAGATGAATGTTATCAAATGTTTATCTTCATCTATTGAGATGATCATTTGGTTACTGTCCTTCATTCTGTTGATGTAATGTCTCACATTTATTGAGTCATATATGTTAAACAATTATAGCATCTCTAGTATAAATCTCATTTGACTATCATATATTTGACTATGGTATATTTTCATTGTATTTGCTGTTAGATTTGGTTTCTTAGTATTTTGCTGAGAATTTTGCATGTATACAAGGGATATTGGCCTGTAGCTTTCTTTTTTTGTGTGTGTCCTTATTTCTTTTTCAAATCAGAGTGATGCTGGCCTCATGGAATAAATTAGGAAGAATTCTCTGCTCTACAATTTTTTTTTAATAGATTCAGGAGAACTGTATTAGCTCTAGTTTGTACGTTTGGTAGATTTTGGCTGTGAGTCTATTTGGTTCTGTCTTTTTATTGTTGGAAACTTTTTATTACTCATTCAATCTCAAAATCCATTATCGTTCTGTTCAGGTTTTCTATTTCTTCCTGATTCAATCTTGATAGGCTGTATGTTTCCTGGAATGTATCACTCTTTTCTAGCTTTTCTAGTTTGTGAGCATATAGTTGTTCATAATAGCCTCTGATGATCTTTAGTAATTATGTAGTATCAGTTATAATGTCTCCTTTTTTTGTTGATTTTGTTTATTTGGGTCTTCTCTTTTCTTGATTAATCTAGTCAGTGATTTATCATTGCCTAAAATCCTTTTGAAGATCCACCTTTTCATTTCATCAATCCTTTGTATTTTTTAGTCTCTATTTTAACTATTTCTAACCTGATTTTCATTTTTTTCTTCTACTAACCTTTGATTTTGTTTGTTCTTGCTTTTGTAGTACTTTGAGGTACATTGTTAGGTTGTTAATTTACAATTTTTTCTACTTTTATAAGGTAGGCATTATTGCTATATATTTCCCTCTCCTCACTGCTTGTGCCGTATCTCACAGCTTTGGTATGTTGTGTTTCCATTTTCTTTTGTTTCAAAAGTGTATTTGTATAGTTTGCAAAGTTCCTCTTGGTGTTAATATCTAGTTTTATTTTCTTGGGTTTGAGAAGATACTTGAAAAAATTTGATTGTTTAAAATTTGTTGAGACTTGTTTTGTGACCCAAAATATGATCAATGGTGAAGAATGTTTCATATGCTGATGAAGAGAATGTGTTTTCTGTAGTTGTCAGAAGATATACTCTATAAAAGTCTGTTAGGTTCATTTGGCCTAATAGCCAGTTTAATTAAAGTCCAATGTTTCTTTGTTTGTTTTTAATCTAGATTATCTGTCTTATGCTCAGTAAGGTGATGATGTAAACTATTAAGTTGAGGGATCCTGTTTTGTTTTTATTTTTTCCACGTAGTCAGTCTATATCTTTTAAGTGAATAATTTAATCTCTTTAAATTTTTAAGTTATTATTGATGTGTCTTTGTTCCTGTTGTCTTATTGTTTTTTGGTTATTTTGTATATTCTTTGTTCCTTTTATTTCTCTAATTGATTGTCATTGTAGTTTGGTGGTATTCTTGATGTGGTACCCTTTGGGTGCTCTCCCCTCCTCCTTTATGTGATTTCTTTACCAGGAAGTTTCATACTACTTATTATGATGATAAGCATCATTCTTTTGCCTCCAGGGTTAGGATTCCCTTGAGCATTGCTCATAGGACCAGTCTCATGGTAACAAATTCCCTTAACCATTGCTTCTTTCAGAAAGACTTTATTTCTCCTTCACTTATGAAGAATAATTTTACTGGTTATAATAGTCTTGGGTGTTTTTTTTCAGCATTTTAAATCTATTATTCTATTCTCTTCTGGCCTGTAACATGTCTATTGAGAAACCCTCTCTCTAGTGAAGTTTCTCTTATAGGTGACTAGATGCTTTTCTCTTGCTGCTTTACATTTTGACTTCAGACAGTCTGACTATAATGTGCCATGGAGAAGACCTTTTTGCATTGTATCTAACTGTGATTCACTGAACTTCCTGTATGTGAATATCTAAGTGTCTTGCTACACTTGAAAGGTTTTCATCAACTACTAAGTTAAAAAGATTTTCTAGTTTTTTTCTGTGTCTTTTTGCCCTCAGGGATGAAAGTAATTCAAATATTTGATTGGTTTATCTTGTCACAAATGTCATAAGGATTTTTCTCATTCACTTTTATTTTTTTACTTTATTTTTGTCTGACCAAAATATTTCAGAAGATATGTCTTCAAGTTCTGAGATTCTTTCTTCTGCCTGTTCTAGTCTATTGCTGAAGTCTTCAAGCATATTTTGTATTCTTTTCAATGAATGTTTCAGTTTCAGAAATTCTATTTGTTTGGTACTTTAAAAAATCTATCTTTTTGGCAAATTTTTCATTTATATCCTAAATTGTTTTCTGATTTCTTTGTATAATTTTTTTCAGAATCATCTTGTAACTCACTGAGTTTTTTAAAAATGAATATTTTGAATTTTTAATTCAGGGTTTCAAAAGCTTTTATTGATATCTATTGTTTAAGAACTGTTGTGGTCCTTTGGAGGTGTAACATTTTCATGCTGTTTCATTATTCCTATGTCCTTATGTTAATATCCTTGAATCTAGTGTACCAGCCACTTCTCCCTATTTTTGAATTTCTTTTCATAGGGAGGGACTTATTCCTAAAAATTAATTTTTAGTGTCGGTTAGATAGGAAACTTTGGTATTGATTCTGGATACGTACAGTATGTAGTCTCTGTATGATTTCTTTGGCTATAAACAGCATTCATGCTTCCTGTGATTTATTTAGAGGGTTAAGGTGTGGTTATTAGTGAAGGCAGTTGTAAAGTTGTGCTGGGGACTGAAAAGACAGATGGCCCAGGCTTCAGGCACTAGTGGTAGCAGTGATGGGTTGAGTATGCCTATGTTTGTGCCCCAGAGTCGTGTGTGTTGGCACCTATATTGGCAGTTACTGGCAAGCTGATTCTTGAGCCTCCAGGTGGACATTGCATAGGTATCAGTAGTGGCAGCAATGAACAGGCAATCAGGACCCTAGGCAGGTGGCATAGAGTGGGCAATAGCAGTAGCAGTGGAAGCATAACCCTTTCAGTCCTGAGTGGTGTAGGCCACTGTTGTTGCGGGCTGTGTTGATGATGTAGGTTTTTCTGCCCTCTGTATAAGCAGTGCCGCACCTCCGCTGAGAGGGAGTGGAGGGACCCTGCCGTTTGTGCCCATGCCCAGGCATAGAGGCTATGCCACTATTGGGGTCATAGTTGCCATTCAGAACCACAGACCAGCAGCCATCTAGTTCTCCCACCTCAGCCTTCAGAGGCAGCAAGAGTGAGTATGCTGGGGTGGGTAGTGGGTTAGAGATCTCATTCTCTATGCTTAAGTCCCAGCATGAAGGTTCCTCCACCAGTGGGAGGGAATTTCTCTCTTTGTTTGTAAAGTTAAGCACAGAGTTTTTGCTGCTGCTAGGGGTGGGGTCAGTTCCTACAGCTCCAAGCAGAGAACTCTCAGCCTGTGGAAAGCATGTGCTTTGCTTTTCTTTGTCCTGTGTGCTTCCTTTTGTAGCACTGCACCATCCTTTTTCTGGTGAGTAGTGCTCTCTGTGGGCTATAATATTAGGGAACTTGCAGCACCTTCTGGTCCAGCCAGCACTGTGCCACTGTTACCCTCTCTCTGGACCCTTGGGAATGTCAGCAGGAGCTCCTGGGATGTGGAGATTTGGGAACTGTGAATCCTAGGGCTGAGTTTAGTCCTGTGATGGCTATGCTCCCAAAGTGGCACCCTGTTGTCACCAGTCAGGTCTTGAAGTCAGTGGGAAGAGATTAGTTACACAGAGCAAGCAAGTTTCCTTTCTGGGGTACCCTTATGGGGGTCTCCAAGTCATCACCCACAGTAGTGTCAGGGTGAGTGTGGGTAGAGGAGCTTTCCAGTGCTTTTAATCCGGCCATCTTTGGTGAGGGTGCCGACAAGCCAAGCTCTTTTTCTCTCTCTTTTACCTTTTCCCTGTAATACTGAGCTCTTCCAGGCTTCTGGCCAATTTTGGCCAAGCTGACCACTTTTCCTTCTCCTTCTGTGCCTCAAGTATTTCTCATGAGTTCTCTGTTGGATTTTACTGTTTTATTTTAGGTATTGTTATCTATTCATAATTTTTGTTCTTCTTTCTGGAAAGGGTGGTTCATGACTCTACTCAGCCATCTTGAACCAGAAACCAGGTTCCTTTATTCTTAATTCTGAACCATGTATCTTTAATTTTTCCTCAGTTTTTTTCCCATTGACTTTTTATTCTTCTTGTATGATTTTCATCTTCTCAATACTGGCTTTAATATGTCAATCTTCTCAATCTCTTAATTTTTCTTTTTTGCCTGTTTCTTTATTTTCCCATTCTATCTTCATTTTGCTGCACCTTTGGGGCCATTTATTTATCCTTTTTAGGCTTTTTATTAACCTTTATAAGTTAAGTTTTATGAAATAATATTTTTATATAATGACTCTTGTATGGCTTCTGGTTCATATGCTATTAAGTTCCTATATCTTTCTGCTGTGTATATGTGTGTGTGCATGTGTGTGCACTTGTGTTTTTAATACAGATAACCTCTATATTTTATATATATATGTTTGATAATAACATTAATATATTAGTGTTAGTGTTAAAATAATTAAATATAATAATAAATAATAAAATAAATGATTTTATTTATATAAAATATAAATCTATACTTATATGTATTCAGTTTTTTGCCCTTTCTTTAGATAGTTATGGGTTCATTTTCTCTGGATATATCAGCAAATGTCAACCCATTTAAATTGGAGAAAGACCAAAGAAATTCTGTGTTGGTCTGATAAGTCTAAGAGGAGGCCCAGGTACCAGTTAAAGACTATTAATTATTTGTTTTTACTGCCATGACAACACAAAACTTGGCTGGTAAAAATTTGAGTTTTAGATCCTTAGCATAAAAAAAATAGTAAGAGACAGTCTTTCAATCATCCAATCCAGGGAATTTGGACCAAAAATGATCAGAAAAATAAAAGCTCAAGTGTATCTTGCCAGTTTGCATAAAAGCAGACACATCATGCTCCTTTTTTTTTTTTTTTTCTTGAGACAGAGACAGAGTTTCGCTGTTGTCACCCAGGCTGGAGTGCAATGGCACAGTCTTGGCTCACCACAACCTCCGCCTCCTGGGTTCAAGCGATTCTCCTGCCTCAGCCTCCTGAGTAGCTGGGATTACAGACATGTGCCACCATGCCCAGCTAATTATTTTTATTTCTATTTTTTTTAGTAGAGACGGGGTCTCTCCATGTTGGTCAGGCTGGGCTTGAGCTCCCGACCTCAGTGATCCGCCCGCCTCGGACTCTCAAAGTGCTGGGATTACAGGTGTGAGCCACCGTGCCTGGCCTATGCTTCTTTTATATTACTGAGTGGTCTGGTGGCTGCTGCTATGTTGCTGCAGTGAAGAGACAGGCAATAATTATGCTTAAGCAAATCAGGGGAAAGACAAATTTTCAAAGAAATCTTCCATCTCCCAAGTTTTTTTTTTTTTATTTTTTTCTTAGTGTTTCCTTTTTTCCCTCCCTCTATCTTTCTCTCTCAACTAGTTCTTGGGATCTGTGTTTCGCTTTCATTTCTGTAGTTTCTCCAATTTTGATTTTGAGACATGAAACTATTTTAGTTATCCGTATTAGGAGAAACTGCTTAATTCTGTTTAGTAGCAATATTTTTTAGTTATATATGTTTTATTCTTGAAAAGCAAACTATACAAATGTAGGTTACATACTATGTTAGCACAACTCTGCTATTCCATTGTGTTGTGGTATTTATCAACATGACTTTACTGCTAAAGCAGACCCTTTTCAAAGAAGATGCAAGTTTCAACAACTTTATTATTCATGTCTGGGATGTGCTACAAAACCTACTGAAATGAACAGCAAATTGTTCATCTTTTTTATTCCATTACAATATTTATATTTGATTGATTTCCTGACTCTTCAGAACCCTTGCCTCAAAATTCTCATTCATTATCATCACAAATATTATTATATCATAATTACTACCCAATCCCAATGAAGTTTCTGGATGTAAAGATCATCTTAAACTAGACTTAAAAATACATACAAATCCCAACTTCACTCTCTTCCACTTCAAGATTTTAGCAAGACTCTCTCAAATGAGTCTTCTCCATTGTCACAGAATAAATTTAGATTTTTCTTATTAGTTCATTTTAATGGTATTTTGGGAGAACCAGCATCTTGGAAGCCTAGCAAGATCCAGCTGAGACCTCTTCATTGTGAACCAAGATTCTCAATTCAAAAACAATGCACTCCTCTGAGGTCCCTAGAGATCCCTCCCAAGGCAGGCTTGAAGAGTATGTCACCTGTGCGGTCACATAGGGCCCCAAACTTAAAAGGTCTCTGTGCTTGCATTAAAGCTCTTCTATTGCTATCTTAATTTTTTAACAGTAGCTAGAAGTGGGCACTGCATTTTTGTTTTACACTGAGTCACCCAAACTACGTAGTTAGTTTTGCTTTACTCACAGAGATATCTATGATTAAGAATAAGATAGAATTTAATGTATGCATTTTTTAGTGTTATTTCTTTTATAAAACCAAATGAGAATATTTTATAGCTAAGGAATAATAAAACATTTTATAGAATATTTTGATTCTCTAAAATCTTTTGATTGTCTTGAAAACTTTTATCTTTGGTGACTATTTGCCTTATTATTAACAGCTCTACTATTTGTCCTTGTCTGGTTTCGTCACTTTTATTGGTTGTACATCTATAAGACGAAAGTTCTTGGGAGAAGTTGGGCAATTTTCCTTTGAGACCCACCTAGGTTTTTCAAATGCCAGTTGCATGTATTAAATCAGTTGTTTTCCTGTGTAACTGGAATAAAACATTAGGTGACCTTTCAGATGGTAAATTCCACAGTGGGCCAGAAGGAAATTTTAACTGCCTATCATATTTTACTTAAAAATAACAACAACAAAAATCTTTTAGGAAAACTATCTTTTATAACCAAACTATTACAGAAACAGAGCTTGTATGACTTCCTGTTGTAAATCATTTTTTATAAATATTATACTTAAAAAAATGTACAACTAAAGGAAATTAGATTATTTAAAATGTAATAATTCTCTTTTTCATAATACTCTTATTTTATGGTAGTATTATGCATTACACATTTTTTTACCTTTATTTTCCAATTTGTGTCTCTTTTGCTCCAAATGTGCAGAAGACTGTAAAAAAATTCAATAGATAATATTAGTATAAGATAATGCTTTCTAAATATTGTTTCACCCCTCTTTGACTCAAAATATAGTTTAATATGTTAATTCTTAAAACACAAAATTCTTTCCAATTTTACTGAGCAAACTTTTGATCAGTTATTAAATTGTACAGAATGATACTTAGTTTTCTTATACCTCAATACACAATATATGTTTAGCAACAAAATATATGTTTTTGAAAAGACATGAGTTTTAGAATAAGCAATGCTCCTTTTTAGTCTGTATATTATTAAAAATAATATCCAGTGTATTTTTAACACTACTGAAAGAAGTTTTAAGTAACTTTGAATCCTGTAAGTCACAGACTTACAGGATATTTCTCACAGATTTTGCTAAGGCAGAAATAAGCTCATATGCTATTTATTGAGTAAAATAAAACAACATTAAAAACAATAATACCAAGTGTTATTTATTCTTGCTTCTGTGTTTTTCTATGAAAAATTGATTAGAACATAGAGTCATTTCATTTCTTATTTTTAAATAGATAGACATAGTAACCATGAGCTAATTCTCCATCCATAAATTATAATATTTAAAAAGTACATTTATAATTACCTTTTTAATTAAAAATTTATTTTATAATCTACAAATCTTTATTTGATAAATAATAATGATGACTTGCCATTTATTAAGAGGAGATACTCTGCTAGCTACTTTACAGAGATTATCTGATTTTTTTCTTTACAACAACCTTGTGAGTTAGGTAATATTATTATTTCAAAGTTGTAGAAACTGAGACTTTTAATAATCACACAGGTGATAATAGGTAGATAGAATATGAAATACCTGAATCTAAAGGCAGGACACTTAAGAACTATGTTATGGCATCTCCCAATAAGACACACAGACAAAATGCCCTATGTTTTCTATGACATACTCATAATAGGATATTAATGATAATTTTAACATTTCTGCCCTTAGAATATACAATCCGAAATCCAACTAGAGACAATAAGTAGACATTACTATTGTTATCTGGAAAGTGGAGAGTTGGCATTCTGCTCCACCGAGATAACCATGGGACATTTAGCTGCTTCATTCCAGAGAATACTGGGGATTTTTCAGGGGTATAGGACAGTTGATACAGTAAGTTGGGCTTAATCATATGAGATGTAGAGGTGCACTTTGATTTATAGTGAGTGGGATGAGAGTTTGAGGGAGGAGCCAAGAGTAAAAGCATAAACATAAGAAGATAACAAATGGTGCTGAAGTTAGGATTAGAGTACAAGATGAGAATAGGGTAATAGAATGAAGTTAATGGTTGCAAAGAGAAGAGAGGAGGATATTTGGAGAATAAGGGAAGAAAATGTAAACCGAGAATTTGTTAGAATTACAAACAGGTGGCAAAAATGAACACAAAATTTACTTAAGCTATTAAATAAATATACAAGATTATCTCTTATAATATACTATAACGTACATTAATATATTATATATAGTTGTAATATAATAAATATATGACAGATAAATATTAAAGAAAAAATGTTTTTCCATTTAGAAGTAAAAAAGCAAGTATTTTCTCATTACTTTAAGAGATGATATTGATGTATTTAAAGCATAATTACAACAATCAGAAAGGAGATATATTCACAGGTTACATATCAAAGCCCAGATATTACCATCCAGATGAAAGGATGTACTAAGAATCCAATATTAATACATCATATATAGATATGAAATTTTAGTTTACAGAAATGAGATTCTGAGATTATCAAATATATGAATAATATTGCTGTCTTGCATTGTACATTTATTCTATGCTCATCTTATGTAATTCATATATATAATACAAAAATATATTTCATCATGTAGTAAAACAACACACTGACCAAATCAAAATAAAATATTTATCAACTTTATAATTCTAGTTTAATTATAAATTAATAGAAGAATAATTTGTTCTTATACTTTAATACATAACAAATTTAGTATGCATAAATCTGCATTTTTTGAAGTTCAAAAATTCAGGAGCACAGAAAACATTGATTTTAAACAGCTGAAACACGAAGAGGTAGTTGCTATATTGTAGTCAATCTGCTAGGTAGGGAAATTAGTAATTAATTATGTGAAAATTCTGACAGTAAGGTCATTATTTCGTAGGGACTTAAGCTTAACCTTACATCTACATTTAAATTTCAATTAGATATATTAGCTGTGAGTGATAAACATGAATAAGTGACAAAAGAAATTGCAAAGGAAGAATCCAAGAGAAATACTGAAATAAAAGTGGTGTGTCTTGCTGTTAGTAACCAATGCATAAATTTGTACATTAGGTACTTAATAGAATGTAAAAACCAACAAAACTTAAATGAGCAGCAAAGATAAAACAAGTTCTGTTTTATACACACACACATACAAGTTGTTTATAGAGTACTGGGCTTCAGAATCCTTCTGGAGATACATATATATTATATACATATGTATGTATACATACGCAAAAATATACATACATATATAGTGTGTATGTGTATATGCACATTTTATGTGCATATATACACATGTATGTATATAGTATGTACATATGCATATGCATACATACGTGTATATATACACACATGTATATATACATATAGTATGTGTATATATACATATCTATACATAGCATATGTACACATATGTATATGCAAACGTGTGCATACACACACATGCATACTATATATGTATGCATGTAAATTTGGGTGTGTGTGTTTGTGTATGTATACATGAATGTGTATATAATATATATGTATCTCCCGAAGGATTCTTAAGTCCAGAACTCCATAAAGAAAATGAGTTCACACTTTGGGAGGCTGAGGCAGGTGGATCACCTGAGGTCAGGAGTTCGACACTCACCTGGCCAACATGGTGAAACCCCATCTTTACTAAAAACAAACAAACAAACAAAAAAATAGCCAGCACAGTGGCATGTACCTGTAATCCCAGCTACTCGGGAGGCTGAGGCGTGAGACTTGCTTGATCCCAGGAGACAGATGTTGCAGTGAGCTGAGATCACACCACTGCACTACAGTCTGGGAGACAGAGCAAGACTCTGTCTCAAAAAAAAAAAAAAAAAAAAAAAAAAGGAAAAGGAAAAAGAATATGAGTCCAGACTATTCTGAATGCAAATTCTGAAATAAAAACATTTGTTTTACTATGCATGTGCTTACATAAAATTAACTTTAAAGCAGTAAAATGGTCTCCAGTTCCTCCTCACTAAAGAACTTAAAATTATGGTTCCTGAAATGTTATGACCCATAAATCATGAGAGCAGACTTGTTATAGGTATAATTCAACTACTTAGTCAAGTCCTTTATGGTAAAGTATTAGTTGTAGGTACCACCCTAAGGCACATAAGTTACAAACCAATGTTTCTCAAATTATTTACTTTCTAAAAAGGAATTTAATCCCTCCAAGAACCTTAAAAATATTGGCTATTGCTTTGTGTTTCTGTATTTCTCTTTCTATCCTTAAATTTGGATTTGTGTTTCTGGAAGCTATATTTTTTTCTGGGGGTACAAAATTTGTCTGAGATGAGGAAATTCTCTATTTCTGGAAACATTCAATTTTGTCTTGAAGTCATAGATGAAAATGAATGCTTTACGACACAGAAATTTGAAAAAGAATTACTTCTTATACAAAAACATTAAAAATCTTTCTTGCAGCCATGCTCATTCCCTTGTTAAGTACCTTCATGTAATCATCTCAGAAGAAATAAATAAATAAAATTAAAAAGAAAAAGAATATTCTTTCATTTCAATAAGAATCTCAACATATGAGACTCAAAGAGGCGGCCCACATCAAAGATCTTGGAACCCTGGTATGGGTTTAACCTGACCAATTCAACTTATCAATGCAGTCTTACTTCTCTTAGATACTCAAGGAATATTTACCTGCATTGACCTGATGAGCTTTCAGCACTTCTAACCCAGATGTATAGTTGAATTACCTCAGGTGGTTAATGGCAAACCAATAATATTTCAGGACAAAAGAAGATAAATATATCTATAACCCATAAATGATGAGATTGGATTGATTATAGCTATAATTCTTCCTGCTCAAATTTTCTAGCCTTGAGATCCTAACGCACTTGTCAAAATGGAGAATAGGTAATCCTCTGCGATTTGCTTACATTGGGTTTCTGCTTAAACTAAAATATCAGATATATTGGTTCTGACTGCTAATGTGAAATGGACACTCTTGTTCAACCATTGTCTCTGTGTCTAGACCAGTGTAGCCGTGCCAGTAAGTGCTCATAAAACATTTGTCAAAAAAAAATAAATAAATAAATAAATAAATAAATAAATAAATAAATGAATAAACTGTTCTAATTCCAAACTAACTCCATGAGGAATATTTTACATTTTCTTGCTTATTTCCTTTCGATCTTTAAAAAAAAAAGACAGAAATCTTTGAGTTACAGTGTATTTTGTGTGGTTTTGAGGATTTGTCTAATCCTGGTTAAGAGAACTTGGAAGCCTATTGTATCTTTTTTAAATGTTATTTTTTATATATTTATTTTATTTAAATTTAGTTAAAAAATAATTAAACAAAAAGATAAATTTTACCTACTGTGATGGTTGAAGCAGCCACAACACCTATTGTATCTTGATATCCCATGTTAGAAGAGTTAAAGCCCCCAAATTTTGAGCCTAATAAAGTTTCAGGAAATTTTTCAAAAGTGCTGCATAATAGACAACTATTAACTAATAAAAACTTTTTACTTATTTGATAAATTAGGCTTTCTATATTCAGAGGCTTTTTTTCTTGTTTGAACATTCAGTTCACAAATATCACAAGTCCTGATCACTCTCAAGTTAATATTAGGATTAAATGAGATAATATATGGAAAATACCTGATAAACCTACAAAATAAAATGTTGGTGTTTAATAAATGTTATTTCCTCCCTTCCTTTTTTGACTTTAAAATAGCTTTATTTAAACTTACACAATTACTCATACTCATAATTTTTTAAATTCAGGATATTTTTACTTTTTTCAAATGGGATGTCACAAAAAAAGAATTTAAAATTTCACATATATTTGCATATGTGCATATATAATCTAATATCCCTAGAAATTTTGATTACTTGTGTTTAAATTTATAGTACAGGGAAACATTAAATTATACATAGCAAAGAAATCTAGGAATCAAATGCAAATTATGTTTTTCTCCTGAAGACATAATTTTCCTAATGACTATATAATATATCCAATTCACATTGATTAAGATTATTGTTATTAGGCTTCATTTAATTCTTCCTTTTAATGTGCTTTAAATTTCAATTTAATAGAGCATGTATTATAATAATGTAATATCAATTAAGGTCTTCCTTAATGTTCCAGATATTTTCTCCTGATGCATAATATGAAAACTCCAAACTTTCATGGGCAAAAAATGTAGAAATAATCAGTACTGTAAGTACATAAAATAACATTTAAATTATTTGCTGAAGTTTCTCATGGCAAATTAAGACAAATTATAATTTATAAATTGAATATCTCTTCTTAATGAAAACATTTTGTGGTGTGATCAGAATTTTATATTTTTAAGTCAATCTAGTTAAGGAAACCATGCTCTGATGACACATCATGAGGATGACATAATGATGATACCCACTAATGATAATGCTGATGAAACTGGCAAGGTTCCTTATCCCCCTTGCAGGATATGCGACAGGGGTGTGGCTTGCTACTTTTGCCCCCGTGCTCAAACTCCTAGGGGGAGCATGCAGTGCCCCAGGTGTACTGGCTGTGGGGAATGCTTTTGAGCTCTGGCTCTATAGCAGCATCTAGGGGTCTATGACTCCAAGTGAGCGTGTGTTACAGTGTGCTCTTTCAGCTTTGCCTTCTGCAGACCATTTGTGTTAATCAGCTCAATAGATCCTCTGCCTTATTGCAAGGGCAGCGGACCAGTGTGACAGCCTGAGTTCTTGCCCAGTGTACCAGAAGAATTAGATCATAGGTGGGCTGGAAGAATCAGTGCAAAATTTTATTGAGTGGTGGAGGTGGCTGTCAGCGAGATGCCTGGGGAGCCGGAAGCGGGGGATGGAATGGGAAGGTGGTTTTCTCCTGGGGCTGGGCTGTCCAGCTGCCGGGACTCTTCTCCAACTGCCCCTTCTGAACTCCACTCACTCTCCTGATGTCCTTCCTCTTCTCTCTTTCTCCCGATGTTGTTCCCCCATCACTGGTCTGCTGGTGTCTTCTGGTGTGTTTCTCTTCTCCTCTTAACATTCAGCTGCTTGTGTCTGTGCCTGCTAATGTCTCGGGTTTATATAGGCACAGGATGAAGGGTGTGGCAGACCAAAAGGCAACTTTTGGGGCATGAAAACAGAAATGACTGTCCTCATTTAGGGCCAGGGTTGTTCAGGCTTGAGAGTGGGGCCTTTGCCAGGGAACTACCCTTTCTACAGGTATTTCCCTGTCTTATGTCCATATATCACTGATTCAGGTAGAATGGCCTTAGATTTTGATGAGAACATGACAGTGGAAACTACAGCTTTAATTTTATAGAGAAGACAGGATATTCACCGCATAAATATTCTCTTTATTCAAATATCCTGTCATTAAGAAAGATAATAGATCTTCATAGCATGTAGTTATGTCCCCCAGTCTTCTTTCAATTTGTTAGAAATTAATAAAATCATTTGTTTGATAGAAGATGAATACCACATATCTTTTTCTAAGGTACAACCTCTCACTGAATCTATGTTTCCTTAAAATAGTTAAGTTTATCATGGTTTAATTAATATATAAACAGTTTAATATTGAAGACAACAGAAAAGTGTTTGTCCTTAAATGGCACATTTTTTGAAAGTTTTGACCACTGACCAGCCCATATTTTAGCTTTTATGTTTCTTCTTCAGAGGCTCTGAACATGGAGAAAAAGTATCACAAAGGAACATATTGGTGTCGTATGTAACTCTATGATCAAAAACCTCAACTGGATCTTCAGCACTGCCTACTAATCACACAATATTTCTCTGATAATATTACTCTCTCACACTGTATAAGTCCATTTTCATGCTGCTATGAAGAAATATCTGAGACTAGGTAGTTTATAAAGAAAAGAGGTTTAACTGACTCGCAGTTCCACATGGCTGTGGAGGCCTCTGGAAACCTACAGTCATGGCAAAAGGCACCTCTACACAGGATGGCAAGAGAGAGAATGAGTGCAAGCAGGGGAAATGCCAAACACTTAAAAACAATTAGATAGATCTTGTGAGAACTCAATCACTATCACGAAAACAGCATGGGGGAAACCGCCCCTATGATTCAATTACCACCATCTGGTCCTGCCCTTGACACATGGGGATTATTACAATTCAAGGTGAGATTTTGGGTGAGGACACAGAGCCAAATCATATTCTGCCCTTGGCCCCTCCCAAATCTCATGTCCTCACATTTCAAAACACAATCATGCCCTTCCAACAGTCCCCCAAAATCTTAACTCATTTCAGCATTAACTCAAAAGTCCAAGTCCAAGGTCGCATCTGAGACAAGGCAAGTCCCTTTTGTCTATGAGCCTATAAAATTGAAAGTTATTTACTTCCTAGATAAAATGGAGGTACAGGCATTGGGTAAATATACTGGTTCCAAATGGGAGAAATTGGCTGAAACAAAGGGGCTACAGGCCCCATGCAAGTCCAAAATCCAACAGAGCAGTCAGTAACCTTAAAGTTCCAAAATGATCTCCTTTGACTCCATGTCTCACATCCAGGTCACATTGATGCAAGAGTTGGGCTCCCATGACATTGTGCAGCTCCTACCTGCTGCGTTGCAGGGTACAGCCAGCCTCCTGTCTGTTTCACAGGCTGACATTGAGTGTCTGCAGCTTTTCCAGGTGCATGGTGCAAGCTGTCTATGGATCTACCATACTGGGGTCTGGAGGATGGTGGCCCTCTTCTCATAAGTCCACTAGGCAGTGCCCCAGAGGGGACTCTGTGTGGGGGTGCGAGCCTCACATTTTCCTTTCCATGCTGCCCTAGCAGAGGTTTTTCATGAGGGTTCCTCCCCTGCAGCAAACTTCTGCCTTGACATCTAGGCATTTACATATGTCCTCCAAAATCTAGACAGAGGATCCCAAACCTCATTTCTTAACTTCTATGCACCCACAGTTTCAACACCACATGAAAGCCACCAAGACTTGGGGCTTGCACCCTCTGAAGCAATGGCCCAAGCTATGCCTTGGCCACTTTTAGCCATGGCAGAAACTGAAGCAGCTGGAACACTGGGCACCATGTCTCGAGGCTGCACAGAGCGGGAGCGACCAGGGCCCAGACCAGGAATCCATTTTTTCTTCCTAGGTCTCTGGGCCCATGATGGGAGAGGCTACCATGAGGTCTCAGACATGCCCTGGAGGCATTTTCCCCAATTGTATTGGTGATTGACATTTGGCTCCTCATTACTTATGCTGATTTCTGCAGTGGGCTTGAATTTCTCCACAGAAAATGTTTTTTTTTTTTCTTTTCTATCATATCATCTGGCTGCAAATTTTTCAAGCTCTTATGTTCTGTCACCTCTTGAAATCTTTGCTGTTTAGAAAATTATTCGACCAGATACCATAAATCGTCTCTCTCAAGTTCAAAGTTCCACAGATCTCTAGAGCAAGGGCATAGCAAAGGTCACCTTTATTCCAGTTCCTAACAAGTTCCTCACCTCCATCTGCAACAACCTCAGCCTGGACTTCATTGTCCATATCACTATCAGCATTTTGGTCAAAACCATTCAACAAGTATCTAGGAAGTTCCAAACATTCTCACATCTTCCTGTCTTCTTCTGAGCCCTCCAAACTATTCCAACCTCTACCTGCTACCCAGTTCCAAAGTCACTTCCACAGTTTTGGGTCTCTTTATAGCAGCACCACACTCTCTGCAGTACCAATTTACTGTATTAGTCTATCCTCATGCTGCTATGAAGAAATACCTGAGACTGGGTAATTTGTAAAGAAAATAGGTTTAATTAATTCACAGTTCCACATGGCTCTGGAAGACTCCAGAAATGTACATTCATGACAAAAGGCACTTCTTCACAGGTCTGCAGAAAAGAAGATGAGTGCCATCAGGAGAAATGCCAGATGCTTATAAAACCATCAGATCTCATGATAACTCATTTACTATCACGAGAATAGCATGGGGGAACCTGCCCCCATGATTCAATTACCTCCACCTGGTCCCAGCCTTGACCTGTGGGGATTATTATAATTCAAGGTGAGATTTGAGTGGAGACACAGTGCCAAACCATATCACACACCATATTCTATTTTTTACAAAATTCTGAAAGTTTTTTAAATGTCTCCTCACCAGTAAATAATAACACTGTGTACTTCACAACAGAAATAAAAACTATAGGAGGTAACTGACAACTTTGGTTAAAAATATCTGCATAAATCCTTATTTATTTTATTCTGTAACAATATGAAGATGACACAATCTGAACACTTATTTTTATTCTTTCCATTTTCTTTAATACTCATAAGCACATTCATATCACACACAAACACACGCACACACATATGCACACACACTCAACATCTTTCAAATGTTTTCAATTCAATTTCTCTCTCCTCATTTTATCTCCTCTGGCCCAGTAGAAATTCCCTGTCTTTTTTTTTTTTTAATGAATTTCTATATTCCCTAACACGAAGTATTTCTTACCAATACCCAGTACAGACATACATAAATTCACAACAAGGTTTTGCTGAGGTTACTTCTTTTTTTGGCATTTTCTTAGTGATTTGCAACCAATTCCTCTTTAATGAAATCTGTATTTGCCTTGGTCATGACACCTGGGATGTAGCACCTTGTACTTACCCTTAGTAACACATATCATTATCACAATTATAATTAAATCAATAACATATAAATTTCTTATTTGTAATATTAAATAAGAAATATATATTCCTTATTTAAATACATAAAATATATTTTAAAATATATATTTCAAGAGGCAAAGGAAGAGATGTCTTGTTCAAATTACTCAGTATATTTCATATAGGAATCAGTCCGTAAATGTTGCCATTTGTGTTGGAACTTAGTGATTAAATGATAGTAACTCAATAGAAATATCTGCAATTGTAAGAAATCTCTATATCTGCACTATCAAATATGGTAGCCAGTAGCCATATGTGGCTCATGAGCTCTTGAAATTAGCTAATTTGACTAACAAACTGAATTTTTTATTCTATGTAATTTTATTTGCTTTAAAAATAGTCACAGGACACTAGTAGATATTAATTTAGGGGTCTAGTTTTGAAAAAAAAAGTATAAGTAAAACACACACACGGGGAATCTTTATAGAGACAAGAACAAAGATTAGAGAAAATATTTTTTAAATAGCTATATATGTTCCATTATACTATAAATGAGAGGACTAAGCTGAAGACTCTCCCTGCCAAATCCTGGCCTGCCCTTTTACTGTACCAGGTATTCTATCTGCTTCTAGGTCTGAAGGCCTCCCCTGCCTAATCTTATTTCCCTCCCCTTTCACCTTTCAAAAATGGTATCCTATAATAAGTCTCTTGCAATTGTAACTCTATGTCAGTGACTGCTTCCAAAAGACCTGATTAACACAAGGACTTTATAGTATCCCAGACACACGATTAGACATGCAATATGAAAAATAATTGCCATCATTTCACTTAAATCACACTTAATATAATTCCTTCTCATTATTACCATATATAAGCAATTTGTACCATTTTGTATTTTAGTTTATGTGGAGACTGTCTTTTGCTAACCTCTTTAGTATGGAGCAACTACGAACAGCAATGAAGCAAGAATTACTTCTTAGATTTGAAAATAATTTTATCTGAGAAATTATGGAATGGCATTTTTTCTAAGGAAATAACTCAGAATGTATAATGAAAAGAATGTCACGATTAATTTAGGCTTAATGTTTTATGAGAAGAAAAGAAGACATTAAAACACAATTATTGATTTTAGGATTTAATGTATGTGAATTTTTAAAAATATTAATAAACATCCTAAAGTCACAGAATTTTACACTGTTTACTTTCTTGATACTACTTATGTAAATCACTTGTATCAAAAACTCTTCTATATGACAAATTCTTTACGACATGGAATTGTTCATAATTAAAATTCAATTATTTGTAGCTTGGGTAAAATATAAATAAGGACTGTGAAGTAAATAGCTTTTAACACTATGCATCTTTTGCAAGTGTTTTTTTTCTTTCATTGGTTAGTAATAAAATACTAGGCTATCTACAATGTTTGTGTTTAGGAGAATTAAATAGGTATGCAATGGTATACAAGACATAACCGTATTTTTAAGGGAGAAAATTCAGAAGCTGCCTTAATTAAATATCTATCTGTGAAAAGCATATTTAAAAATGACAGTATACTTACAAGGAAACAATAATCAAATGATTTTTCTAATGCTATTTTTGAAAATATTTTCTTATTTGAGTATACATCAAAGAATGGGAAAAATTCTACATCCTTAATTGAAGACTAGATGGATTTTCATACATTCCTTGAATTGGATAACCAAGATTTTCTATACTTCCACACAATTTTTGTCTTGTTTAAAATAATCAACATCTAAAATAGAAAAGGCAACTTTGTTTAAAGGTGTTACACTATTATGATGAAGAGTAACATGAAAATCTGAACAGGACCCAAACACATTTTTTTCTGCATTATTTAAGAGTTCTATATTATGGAGTTTATTAAAATTGGTCCTTGTTCCAAATATATCATGCTGACCTTTTAACTTTATTTCCCTGTGGTCTGTGGACTATATAACCTTCTCCTTGGTTTTATTGCCAATTTCAAGATTTTTATTTTTATTGTTTGTGATGCCTCAATATTCTATAACTTATTCACTGTGTAAATGAACTGTAATTCTTATTTTGTAAATATGATTTTCATTTAGCAAAACTTTAACACATTTTCTGAGCAAAAACCGTGTCACATGGCAATTATTAGTAGACACATAAATACGCATGGTGAAATGAAAGTCATTTTTTAATACATGTCTAGCTTAAATTTTCAGTATCAATAAGATGCCTGCCCTTGTATAACAAATAATGTCAATCTTGGGCATTTTTTCAGTTATTCTCCAGATTCGCTGAATTTAGTAAAAGCAAATGTATTTAGTGTATACAGTTCCTCTTATATATTCATTCAAGTGAATAAACTCAAAGCAGAGTAAAAATTTATTGAACTTTGCCAGAATGCTCTTCAAGAACTCACGAAGTATAATTACTCTCAAACTGATCTCCCCTGATGCATTGGGATCTAGCAACACTAGCCACCTTGCTTTTTCTCACACACTCCAGGCATCCTCCCCTTTAAGATTTGTGTACTAGCTATTCTCTCTATTTCAAGTGCTCTCCCCCAAGAATCTCCACAGCTAACTCTCACCTCTTTCAAGGCTTTAATCAAATGCCACATTCTATTTATAGATATAGTTATTTTTCCCTATTTATAGTTATAACTCCTACTCTCACCCCTTACTCTCAATTTTCATTGTCCTCTTCTCATTTTATTTTCCCAAAGTCCTTTTCACTTTTTATATTATATGAAATGTAGGATGTAAATTGGTTACATTTATTCTTTATTTTCTGATTCACACAAAAAGAATATAAGCTAAGCCCTATGAGGCACATATTTTTTGTTTGTTTTGGTCATTAATATGTCATGTCTTGCATAGTAGGCACTTAATATGTGTGTGTTAAATGAAATAATGTAAATGAATGAAGTTATTATACATGATTTTATGGTCAGTTGATATTTTCAATATGTATTATCTATCATGTATCAAGCACTGTGTTATTTTTGGTGAATATAATCATGAAAAAGACAGCACGGGGCTATCCTCAAGTAGCTAACACCATATAGTAGAAGATGGAGATTAAAGAAAAACACAAAAGATTGATTATGAAAAGGCTTTGAATGAAAAGTACGTGGATATTATGGATGCATGAAAGAAGAAAGTTGTCCTAGTCTGAGGGAAGAGGAGGGGTGTAAAGGGAGGGGAAGATATTTATAGGAAGTGTTAAGTAACTGCTATTAATCTTGAAGATTTTTTATTTTTTATGCTCAATGACAAAATGAAAACTATAGGCTACATGAGGATTTTTTATTTAAAATTGAAATTGGATCCCTTTCTTTACTCAAGGTGGATTAAAGACTTAAATGTAAAACATAAACTATAAAAAACCTTGAAGATAACCTAGGCAATACTATTCTGGACATAGAACTGGGCAAAGATTTTATGATGCGGATGCCAAAAGGAACTGCAACAAAAACAAAAATTGACAAATGAGATCAAATTAAACTAAAGAGCTTCTGCATAGCAAAAGAAATTATCAACAGAGTGCACAGGCAACCTACACAATGGTTCAAGGGTACAGCTGAATGTTTGTTACATAGGTAGAAAGATTTGCAAACTATGCATCTGACACAGATCTAATATCCAGAATCTATATGGAACGTAAACAAATTTACGAGGAAATATGAAAGTCCCTATTAAAATGTGGACAAAAGACATGAACAGTACTTCTCAAAAGAAGACATACACAGCCAACAAGCATATGAGAAAATGTTCAACGTCACTAATCATTAGAGAAGTGCAAATCAAAACCACAGTGAGATACCTTGTCACATCAGTCAGAATGGCTATTAATAAAAAGTCAGAAAATAACAGGTGCTGGCAAGGTTGTAGAGAAAAGGCAATGCTTATACTCTCCTGGTGCGAATATAAATTAGTTTAGCCATTGTAGAAAGCAGTTTGGCAGTTTCTGAAAGAAACTGAAACAGAATTTCTATTCTATCCCAGAACCCCAGTATTGGGTATAAACCCAAAGGAAAATAAATCATTCTATCATAAAGACACCTGCACGCATATGTTCATTGCAGCGCTATTCACAAAAGCAAACACATTGAATCAATATAAATGTCCATCATCGGTACACTGGATAAGGAAGATGTGGTACACGTACACCATGGAATATTACATAGCAATAAAAGCAATGAGATTATGTTCTTTGCAGCAACATGCATGTAACTGAAGCCCAACTAAACAAACTAACACAGAAACAGAAAATCAAATACCACATATTGTCACGTATATGTGGGAGCTAAACACTGAGTATCTATGAACACGAAGCAGGAAAAAACAGACACCAGGGTCTACTTGAGGGTGGAGGGTGGGAGGAGGGTGAGGATAAAAAAACTGCCTAGCAGATACTATGCTTATTACCTGAGTGATTAAACAATCTGTACATCAAACCCCTACAACATGCAATTTACCTATAAAGCAGACATGCAAATGTACCCATGAACCTAAATAAAAGTTAAAAGTGACTATTGTTGACATTATTAAATTAAAATAAATAATAGATAAAAGGTATCAATATTTTGTACACATGCTAATTGATATAAATTTCATGAAAAACCTTGTGTACAGATGAACAGACAACTTAAAAGATGAATATGGAAATAAAGCATTTTGGGGGAGATGTAGAGACAGAAATATTGTAAGCACTGAGTATCATTTACACAAAACAAGAATAAATACGTACAAGTATTAGAGATCACTGATACCTGATCATAAGGTATTAATCAGGGTTACCTTAGAATAACATATGCTGTTTACTACCAGCTTCATAGGCTTCCACAGTCATCTAAATTTAAAAATTAATGAAGTAAAATGCCAATCTTTCTCTTTCTAGTTTGAACACAGAATTTATCAGTGAGCCAGGAAATTTCTGGGAATAAACTAATTAAAATACAGATTTCAAAATATATATTATTGACCAACAAATTATTGAGTTGATAAAATATTTCTATTTAGGTACTATGTGTTAAAAATAAAAATAACTCATGTATTAAAGCAAAAGTTAAACGTAATTATATGTGATGTATAATTGTGTATTTTAGTTGATTCCTAAGCCTTGCATGTTTCTAAAACTATACCACTGGTGTTTTTTTTGAAAAATAACTTTTTTAAAAAAAAATCTCAAACATTTTTAATCAAGCCAACAAATATAACTGAAAAGGAGGTGAAATCTGTATCATATAAGAATTTTTTACTGAATAAAATGACCCAATGTAGTCATGATGTGTTAAAAGGGAAATTTTCTTAGTAGAGAGATCATAAATTGAAATTTGAAAAGCAGTTTGGAGCTATGGATTCAAGTAGTACCTTGGCTAGATGGTGCATTGATTTCTCTGGGCTGCTGTAACAAAGTGCCACCAACTAGGTGGCTTATAACAACAGAGACTTATTTTCTTGTGGTTCTGGAGGCTATACGTCCAAAGTCCAGGCATCAGCAAGGGGGGGCACGCTGTCTTCTCCAGATTCTGGTGGTTTCTGGCAATTCTTAGCATTTCTTGGATCACAGCTACATCACTCCAGTCTCTACCTCTGTGGTCACACGGCTATCTTCCCTTTGTCTGTGTCTTCACATGGCATTCTCTGTGTGCCTCTTTTAAGGATAGGGTTATATCGGATTAAGGGCCCATCCTGCTCCAGTAAAACCCCATATTAATTGGCATCTTAATTATATCTGCAAAGACTCTATTTTCCATAAGGTCACATTCACAGGGATTAGGACTTCAACAGCAGTTGATAGTATGGCATATCGTTTCCTACTCTAGGTCATGAATTTACTTAACTGATTAGCAAAACTTGAACTGAACTTACATGAGGCTACTTATAGATATTATATTTATTATTCATATTTTTACATATATAACTTTTATATAGACATTTTTAACTATACTTGTGAATAGTCCTAAATTCTGTTGCAGAAACACTAATACTTTTCAAGTGTTGCTCTAGGTCTTTCTGGTGAGATATATATATATATATTTTAAATTTTCCCATACGTTACTGGGGTACAGGTGGTATTTGGTTACATGAGTAAGTTCTTTAGTAGTGATTTGTGAGATTTTGGTGCACCTGTCACCCAAACATTATACACCCTACCCTATTTGTAGTCTGCTGGGATAATTGGCTAGCCACATGTAGGAGAATGAAACTGGATCCTCGTCGCTTACCTTGTGCAAAAATCAACTGAAGGTGGATTAAGGACTGAAAGCTAAGAACTGAAACTATAAAAATTCTAGAAGATAACATTGGAAAAACCCTTCTAGATATTGGCTTAGGCAAGGATTTCCCAAAAGCAAATGCAATCCAAACAAAGATAAATAGCTGGGACTTAATTAAAATAAAGAGCTTTCGCATGACAAAACGAACAGTCAGCAGAGTAAACAGACAACTCACAGAGTTGGAGAAAATCTTCACGATCTATACATCTGACAAAGAACTAATATCCAGAATCTACAACGAACTCCAATCAGTAAGAAAAAAAACAACCCCGTCAAAAAGTGGGCTAAGGACATGAATAGACAATTCTCAAAAAAAGACATATAAATGACCAACAAACATGAAAAAATGCTCAACCTCACTAATGATCAGAGAAATGCAAATCAAAACCACAATGCAACACCACCCTACTCCTACAAAAATGGCCATAATCAAAAAAACAGTAGATGTTGGCGTGGATGCGGGGATCAGGGAACAGTTCTACACTGCTGATGGGAATGTAAATTAGTACAGCCACTATGGAAAACAGTGTGGAGATTCCTTAAAGAACTAAAAGTAGGCCGGGCCCATGACTCATGCTTGTAATCCCAGTGCTTTGGGAGGCTGAGATGAGTGGATCACGAGGTCAGGAGATTGAGACCATCCTGGCCAACATGGTGAAACCCCGTCTCTACTAAAATACAAAGAATTAGCCAGGGTTGGTGGTGCACACCTGTAGTCCCAGCTACTTGGGAGGCTGAGATAGGAATGGCTTGAACCCTTGAGGCGGAGGTTGCAGTGAGCTGAAATTGCGCCACTGCACTCCAGCCTGGGTGACAGAACAAGACTCCATCTCAAAAAAAAAAAAAAACTAAAAGTAGAACTACCATTTGATCCAGCAACCCCACTACTAGGTATCTACCCAAAGGGAAAGAAGTCATTATAAAAAAAGATATGGCAGCACAGTTGGCAATCGCAAAATCATGGAGCCAATAAAAATGCCCATCAATCAACTAGTGGATAAAGAAACTAATATATATATATATACACATATATATATACACACACAAATATATATACACAAACACACACATATAGATATACAAACACACATATATATACACACACGATATATATACACACACACACACACACACACACACACAAACACACACAGTGTGGAATACTATTCAGCCATAAAAATGAATGAATTAACAGCATTTGCAGTGACCTGGATGAGATTGGAGACTACTATTCTCAGTGAAGTAACTCAGGAATGGAAAACCAAACACTGTATGTTCTCACTGATATGTGGGAGCTAAGCTACGACGACGGGAAGGCATAAAAATGATACCATGGACTTTGGGGACTTGTGGGGCAGGGGGTGGAGGGGAGGAGGGGGACAAGGGATGAAAACTATTTCTTTATGGTATGGTCTTATTTTAAATTTTGTAGTAGAATTGACCTCGATTTTTTTTGTTTTAAGGCTCATTAACCTTAAGTAACTGTAATTATTGGCACTTTTGCCTAATTGTTTTGTAAGCCAAACTACTTTTAGTTGAGAAATACTCTTTCTATAGACACTGAGGTACCTTGTAGGCTCATACCAAACTCTGACAATTAAAAGGTGTTATTAAATGCTATTTTTTGCATAGAACATATTTTTTTCTTTTACTGTTTTTTGGTCCTCATTCAAAGTACTTTTCTTCAAAAACTATTTTTACTATACAAGCTCATCAATTTCCTGTATTTACACTTAAAAATGTATTGCTAAATGTAGTCATGGCAAAATCATAAGCCTTTTCAATTTTATTCCATTTTGTTTAAGAATACAAATTTATTGAATTGTAAATATAAGCTCAGTCTAAAAATTTCTTTCACAAAATGAAATGTTTCAAAGTATAATAATAAAATTTAAAAATTAAATTATGAACATATTTTTATCTAATTATTTAACTTGTGTGGTAACTTTAAAAATAAATTTCAATTTCTTTATATTTGCAAGTTTCAGTTTTAATAAATCAATTCAAAGATACTTCAAAAGCTGACATTTTGACATTTGATTCATTGAATAAATTAAGCTTCCCATTTGGTTTTGAATACAATCAAAATTTCAAGGAGCCATTTATAAAATCTTTTAATCCTAGTGTAAAACAATTATATTTAAAAAATTCTTTTCTAAAAGTTCAAATATTTCTGAAACTGGACTTAGGACAGATAGCAAAAGAGAAAATACCTATTGCTGTACTAAAGTATGCTTTTATTTTAACATTTAATATTAGCGGTCAAAAAATGTTATCTCATTTTATATGTGTATACTCCAAATATTTGTATATTTTTATAGTCATAGCTTCTAGTTTGATTGGTTCAAATTTGAAAGTAATTATAAACTAAATGAGTACATGACTAATTCCAAATATTTTAAGCTGTTTAGGTTTCACAATATACTTAGAAGTATGTGTTCACCTTGATGTTGTGCGGTGCTAAAATTTGCACTCTTATCACCATAAAAGTAGTAAGTTGATGTTTAATATTGAACATTTAAACAGAATATATTGTATCATGCACAGTGATACTGGAATGAACTTTTAAACTTCATTTTGATTGCATATATTAAAGAAAATTAAACATTTATTAGGATTAACAGAGTTGATTTTTTTGTTTGAATCATCTGATGACATAGATATAAAACTGTATCATTCCATTGTTCTTCAAAAGTTCTTCTACTTAAACTTGCAGCACATTAATAGCTCTCACAACCTTTTGTTAATGGTCTATTTCTCCAAAGATAAGAGTTGAGTAAAAAGTAAGTATGTCTTGAGAGATTATGAATAGGTTGTAGCTACTTTTCTTGTTTTTATATATCTTTTTTTATAGGAAGAAAATATATTGTGCTTGAATAAGATTAACATACATGGTATTTAGAGAAAATTATTTTTATTTATATATGATATCGTTTTATTTGGAAGGAACTCTTGTAAAAAAGAATGAAATGATAGTGTGGACAGAGTTATGCTGATAATTTTTAGGACTCTGCTGATGTAACTCAGTTTAGTAAGATGAAGGAGTTTCAGAATATTTATATTTCTTTGACGACAAGAATGTGGAAAGCAATGCACATATTTACATAATTCTGAAAATATGAACAGGGAAAGGTCAGTATGTGTTCTAGTTAGTTCAACCTTAAGAAACTGTTTCTTGGGAATTGGGAAGGGTATGGGTGTATAAATATGTAATGATTTGAAAGGGGAATCAGGAACTTAAAAGACAATGAATAAATGAGCACGCATACATAAAAACTATTTGGCATTGCTAATTTGATCAGGATGATTTTTAAAATTGTCTCACAACTTTTTCACATCACTTGTTCTACTCACTAGCCATTGGGAGAAGCAGCACTACTGGTCCAAAGAGGAGTTCTTTCCCTTAATTGCCCTTTCAGAATTGATTTGGATTTTGGAAATCATAGCAGCCTGCTGTTTTTATTATTCATCTTGGCTTATTGTCACTGGCAGCTTCTTTGACTTTTATGATTACATTTTTAAAAAATGCATAAAAATATTATAAAAAAATGAAAACAAGAAAAATAGAATTACCCAGAACATGACTCACATCATACTTTTAATATTTTGTATAGCCTTTTATAGTATTTGTCCCCTCTACATAAATGTATATGAATATATTTGGAGTTATGCCCATTGTTCTATAGCCTAATTTCTACATTTAAATGTTTCTAGAAGTCTTCGTGTTCTTCAATACATTTGCAAAAATGTATTGAAAACCTTAATGACTTAAGTTTTCCATAAGATGAATGTGCTATTATAATTTAACCAATAACTTACTGATTAACGTTATTGGTGAACATTGATGATATTTTTAAGTTTTACTCTTGTAATTAAGCTCACACTAGGTAGATTTGTGATATTTAGATATATTAAATATCTAACTAGTAGAATAAACATATATACTTATGCATGTATATATGTGTGTATATTCTAGCATTTAGTATATATGCGTGTTCTAGAATTAGATATTTAATTTGTGATTATTTATCCTTGTGTATTACTTTTTACTCGTCTTTTTTTTACAAAAATTTTTTCTAGTACAGGTTTTGCCTTTTTATTTTATGCAATTCATATGACACTAAATAATCACTTTAAAAAAATAGAAAAATATTTGTCATATTTATACTTAAATAAGAAACACCTAGCTGAGAAAGAGTGGTGAAAATATGAGAGAGGAAGGTTCATAGTTCCAGATAAGTGAAAGGGAGATTCTTTTTTTTTTAGTAAAGGGAAAAGAAAGCTAGAACAGCAACTAAACAACATGAAAGTTTGCATTTCCTCCACAAAATCTGGTGGAATATCTTCTCTTTATCGAAGATCCAAATGCTTTTATGTTTGTGCTGCTATACTAACATTTGTCTTCTATCCTTAACTACGTATCATGATATATGGTAGCTTTTGATGCTTCAACATTCATTATCTCATCTAGGCCCAGAAGGATATAAAGGATAAGAAGGATATAAAGAGTGATATTTCAGCTGATTCCATTCCTTCGCAATAGGTTTTCTAGATTTCCTATCATAGCTTTTTTTAAATTTTATCTCTCTAGCTAGAACTTACTCAAATACGCATGTGAAGCAACCAGTGAAACCAGGCAATGCAATCATTTTACTGGGTGTGGATTTTGTGTCCTTTTTGTACTTTAAGAAGTATGGTCTGAGCAGTTAAATTTTCTGTTTGTTTGCTTTGATAAGAGATATCAATAATTTCATAATTTTATTAAATATCATTGTGTTTCTCTTTCAATATAGTTGTTTTGGCTTTTTTAAAGTTTTCATTGTTATTGTAATTATTATTCATTGTTCCCATAGTCTAGGATATGTTTAATTTTTACTTTTATTTTTCAGTTGAATGCTATTTGCTTTTTTCCTCATCAGTATTGTAAAGAGATTTATTGAAACAGGAAATCCTATATCGATGAAACAATGTATAAAAATGTTCTAAAACTTATGAAAACTATTAAAATTAAAACTAGATAATTAAAGTTTTCTGAGATATACTACAGCAGGAAGAATCATCATTAGCAGAGCATCATGGTAAGAATGTTAATGTAAAAATAATGAGAACAAATAAAAATACAGATGTACATCAAAAATAAAAATAACTGAAAATAATTACTATATAGGCATCTTCTATAGCCAGCTAAATCCTGCAGAAGTCCTATGCACATCCCCCTCAAATATACATATGGAGCAACCAGTGAAACTGGGCAATGCCATCATTTCACTTGGTGTATTGTCACCAACAAAGGACCACTCAAGGAATGGCTGATTCAGTAGTTGTGACCTTTGCCCACCCTGTTCATAATCTACCCCATCATGCTCAATAGGAAGCACACAGTGGAGGTTGGCTCTGCTGGGTGGACAAGTGGTGCATGGCACCTTCCACAACTTGTACCTGCCAGCTATTTAGACCAGGTACCAAACTGCTAATAGAGGTAGGCATTTTACCCATAATCCACACCATAAAGAGCCACCAACAGCAAGTCTACAGTGGTCATGCCATTGCTCCATTCTAGTGTACTCAGACACTAGAGCGTTTCAGATCCTTTAGAATCTGCTTCTTGGTGACTGAGTACACTAGATCACACCAGTGAAATCCAAGGCAACCACCTGCACAACTCTCCCCATTTTGTTAGTGGGCAACAAAAGCCTAAGCAGGTACTCAGGAATGGAGTATTTTTTAATTAAAAAAATAACAAAACTCAGTATTTGGAATAAACACTAAACTTGTTTCAGTAAAATTTAATAAAATAGTAGAGTGTTAAAGAGGTTTAAAAATGGTCATGTAGGGACGTAGTGGAAGACTGGAGGGCACCAACATAAATGTTAGATTTTCAATAGAACATAATGGAAAAACTTGTAGGAGATACAACATTGAGATAGAATATTTGAATTAAAATCATTAAAATTCTCTAAAAGTAAAAACAGACAAGGCTATAATTTAAAATATTTTTCAATTATTAAATGGAACAAGTAAATAAATGATATCCAAACATTCTAATAAAACCGAAAGCCTTACCAAAACAGAGATATAGATCAATGGAACAGAACAGAGCCCTCAGAAATAACACCGCATATCTACAACTATCTAATCTTTGACAAACCTGAGAAAAACAAGCAATGGGAAAAGGATTCCCTATTTAATAAATGGTGCTGGGAAAACTGGCTAGCCATATGTAGAAAGCTGAAACTGGATCCCTTCCTTACACCTTATACAAAAATTAATTCAAGATTGATTAAAGACTTAAACGATAGACCTAAAACCATAAAAACCCTAGAAGAAAACCTAGGCATTACCATTCAGGACATAGGCATAGGCAAGGACTTCATGTCTAAAACACCAAAAGCAATGGCAACAAAAGACAAAATTGACAAATGGGATCTAATTAAACTAAAGAGCTTCTGCACAGCAAAAGAAAGCACGATGAGAGTGAACAGGCAACCTACAAAATGGTAGAAAATTTTCACAACCTACTCATCTGACAAAGGGCTAATATCCAGAATCTACAATGAACTCAAACAAATTTACAAGAAAAAAACAAACAACCCCATCAAAAAGTGGGCGAAGGACATGAACAGACACTTCTCAAAAGAAGACATTTATGCAGCCAAAAAACACATGAAAAAATGCTCACCATCACTGGCCATCAGAGAAATGCAAATCAAAACCACAAGGAGATACCATCTCACACCTGTTAGAATGACAATCATTAAAAAGTCAGGAAACAACAGGTGCTGGAGAGGATGTGGAGAAATAGGAACACTTTCACACTGTTGGTGGGACTGTAAACTAGTTCAACCATTGTGGAAGTCAGTGTGGTGATTCCTCAGGGATCTAGAACTAGAAATACCATTTGACCCAGCCATCCCATTACTGGGTATATACCCAAAGGACTATAAATCATGCTGCTATAAAGACACATGCACACGTATATTTATTGCGGCACTATTCACAATAGCAAAGACTTGGAACCAACCCAAATGTCCAACAATGATAGACTGGATTAAGAAAATGTGGCACATATACACCATGGAATACTATGCAGCCATAAAAATGATGAGTTCATGTCTTTTGTAGGGACATGGATGAAATTGGAAATCATCATTCTCAGTAAACTATCGCAAGGACAAAAAAACAAACACCGTGTGTTCTCACTCATAGGTGGGAATTGAACAATGAGAACACATGGACACAGGAAGGGGAACATCACACTCTGGGGACTGTTGTGGGGTGGGGGGAGAGGGGAGGGATAGCATTAGGAGATATACCTAATGCTAAATGACAAGTTAATGGGTGCAGCACACCAGCATGGCACATGTATGCATATGTAACTAACCTGCACATTGTGCACATGTACCCTAAAACTTAAAGTATAATAATAATAAAATAAAATAAAAGAATGAGGCCAAAAAAAAAGAAAAAAAAGAAAGAAAAAGAAAAAGCAAAAAAAGAAAGAAAGAAGAGGCTAAATTGGATTGTGATAAGCAGGAGCAGTGGTATCAACCACTCCTTTTCTATATAAACCTTGTATATTGTGTTTCAATCCTTGAAGACCCTATTTTATTTTACATTGGACCTTATTAAATATTTTAGTGGTGGTTCGGAGAGATGGAAAAGTCTACATGGTCCCATTTTAAAGCCAATTTGTAAGTGCCAAAAACTTAGTTTTAATTTATTACCCACTGGATCAGAGCATCCATGTCCACTATGGGATTTTTAGGGCAATGGGTACTATAATCATGGGGAATTTAGGCAAGGCAAT